>NC_000001.11:238608364-238759879 GCF_000001405.40 Homo sapiens
CCCCCGTCTCCAGAGAGGGAGCACAATGACTTTCTTACTTGCTTGCCCAGAAGGGGGACAAGAAGGGAGGAGAGCGGGATGGGGTATAAAAGCTGTCAGATGTAAAACATCAGAAGTAGCGTTAGTTCCATTAAAGTTCATGTTTGATATTTAGTTGATTACCAAAATGTGTAATAATTAAATAATTGTACTTATTTATGTAAGACTTTATGGTGCTCTAAGGGGCTTATAGCCTAAGGCTGGTAAGGGAGATTAAAGCTCTGCTGAATTCCTTGCTCAAGAGTGCCTTGAGTATTTTGAGAAATGAAATTAGTTCCTTGGTCACTATCAATAATGTTTACAACTTCAAAAGGAATAAGAAGTATCTGGTAATAACTTGTATTGTAGTTTGAGTATGTACAGATATAGGTGTGATTTTGATTTATATTTTTATTATCTGTGAGGACATTGCCATAGAATTTTACCCCAAAGGGATGACTTTGGTTACTGAATTGTGGTTGTTCTTTGACCAGATGAGCAGACCATTGGCAATGGCTCAAGAGCCTGGAAAAATATGTAGATGGAGATAATTGTGGGCTATGGCATATTCTAGTGCCAAAAATGGCTAAAGTTTGTTTGATTGTTCTGATCTTTGGGTATTGTCTTCGGGTGGGACATCTTTGTCAGAAATGGATATAACATTTGTTAGAAAAGGATGTACTATCAATAGATAGTAAATCTCTTCTGACTCCATTACACGTAATAGTGACACTGTGTTCTGTTCTATAAAGTACACAAACTACCTTTTCTGTTTAGTCGGTTGATCCCAAGAGGCTTTCCCGATGGTTGATGTGTCTAGCAGAGGGTCGACATACTCCAGTACCATCGCATCTGTTATGGGACTGGAAACAAACAAAGTGACTTCCTTCTGTAGGTGGAATATGCCAGAGGCTCTACTCTGTATCATTTTTATTCAGTAAGAAGGATTCTATGGCTGTGTTGGATCTGTAGGATGCTTTATCCATGCCCTAAGGCATGATAGGAAAATGAGTCCTAAGGCCCACCTTTGAGACAAGTTAGCATCATTTTCCAAAAGGTTCAATATTCAGCCTACAGTGGTTATACTGATGAAATATATCTGGTGGCCAAAGAAGACCGTTTTTTGGCACCAGAAGCCTATGAGCAACCTATAGCCAACATGTGTATTCCAGAGATTCCAGGATGCATGAGAGGAAGTTCTTGGGTCCTCTGGAGTGAAAAAGTGTCTGAGGTGTGATGAAGGTAGTCTCTCTCTCTCTCTTTTTTTTTTTTTTACATTTTGTAAAGACTGGACCTTTTGTTGTTGGAGACACCATTTAAAGCGGACCAATTTGAAGATAACTATAAAATGGATTTAAGTGAAATTTGTAAATGAAGAATTCATTGCTTCAAGAACCAAAAATGCCAAAAACATGTTGAGCTTGTTTCAAAATTGAGGGTTCTAATAGGGAAAAAGTTATTCCTTGATGGCAGTTTTTGACTGACCAAATAATGCCCAGAAATTTAAGTGAGGTGGTGGGACCTTGTACTATGTGTATGGTAATGGCTCATCCCTTTTTATCAGTTGCTTTGTGAATGTTTGTATCTTGACTAAGTGCACAGAATGAATCTGCTCAGAGAAGAATCTCACCAATGTACCATATCCATGATGTATCATTCCCATTGATGCCATCAATCTATCTTACTCAGGTAATCTTGGATAAAGGTGGATGTGATCGAGATCTTGCCTGCAAAGATTGTGTGATATGGGAAGATTGTGGGGATGCTATATGGGTATCCAGGTAAAAGGGACGTGTGTTGCATTGAAGGTAAAGGAAAACTGCTAAGCGGCTATTGAAATAGGCAAATATAAAATATATTATTCAAATCCATAGTAGTAGGTAATTTCAGTAATATTAGGTTTGGGGGCTTTAATCAGATAAATCATGGTATTAACAATGTGATAATCCAGTATTAGGTACCATTCCCTTTTACTAGGTGTTATCACTGGAAAATGTGGGCTATTAAATGTGGTACATTAAATGGGATAGTAGGTAAAATGGTGCCTTCCTTTTGTAGGTCTGAATGAAGAGTGGGTCTTGAATTATGGGCCTTGATTTATCTGGTCCTTGTTTTCTCTATGTCCAGACATGCTAATTAATTTCCCCAGTTTGTAAAACTGTGTCTGATGTTGAATAGTAGTACTCCCAAACTGCTAACCTGGGAGTTTATTTACTGCAATCAAATAAGGACAGTTTTCATATTTCAGCGTGTTCCACGTGACTGTTCTGTTCTAAAGGAGAATGAGAGTGGAAAGAAACAATAGGAAGCATAATACAATTCAGGGTAATAAGTGGAATAAATGAAAAAGTCAAATGAAATTAGTAACTTCTAGCACTTTGGGAGGCTGAGGTGGGCGGATCATGAGGTCAGGAGTTCGAGACCAGTTCGAGATGGTGAAACCCTGTCTCTACTAAAAATATAAAAATTAGCCGGGTGTGGTGGCACACACCTGTAGTACCAGCTACTCAGGAGGCTGAGGCAGAAGAATTGCTTGAACTGTGCTCACCGCGGAGGTTGCAGTGAGCTGAGATCGCCCCATTGCACTCTGGCCTGGGTGACAGAGCGAGACTCCATTTCAAAAAAAAAAAATTAGTAATTTATGAAGAGGCATATAAATTATGGCTTATTTAATTGTGCATGACTTTACTTGGCATTTTTAAGAAAAACACAGTGGTGAAACAATTGTAGGCTATCTTAACATAGTCTAGATCTTCCATAGCTTGGAGTCTTAGTGAAAGACACAATTGGAACCCCTTCAGGGTTCTAAATATTGTGATTACCTATGTCTATGGAGCAGTACTAACAATTAAGAAATGGCATAAGTAGCTTTAATATCTATCTCTTTGCTCTTTTATCGCCAATTAAATTTTTTTAAAACTTGTAATTTATGATTTTTTTATTCTAGTTTGCATATCATAAAGGGATCATATTGTTAATAAAGTATAAAATTTAATTGTCACTTTAAAAATCCTTGGTCGTCTTCATTGTGCTTAGTTCTAAATTCACAAAGATGAGATGTTTTACAGAGTTCCTCACGTTGATAAATATTTGTAATTACTTACTGTAAAAATATGAGGTCATATTGTCCTCATTTTGTCATGAGTTGTATTCTTAGGGAGATGAAAACACTTATTTTGGGTCCTACTGTGTATCAGGCATTGTGCAAGACATAAAAATGTTAAGCTTCAATGCCATAACACACCGTGATAAGATCAGAAAACTGGGGTTTCATGGAAGTCAATACTTAGGACAAAGACATGCAGCTAGTAAGTGGAGTAATAGGGCTTCGGACCCTAGGTTTGACTGATTCCAAATTACCTGTTCTTTCCTTTACAAAGTGCTGCCTCCACTGTCAGTGATGAATCATTGTTTTCATCACATTGCCAAAAGGTAGTAACTGAAGTTCAATTATAAGATATAATCCGTCAAAATGTTTGAAGTTTTTTTATTATAATTAATCATACTCTGAGTTATGTCAGGAGATGTATTAAAAATATAACCGAAGGATAGTCAGAAAAGAACCACATTGCCAAAGCAGTTGTCTCTGAATCAGAATCTATAGATTATAATCTTGTCTGTAACACTAGTTTCATGACTTTGTTCAACTTTTTAGAGCCCTCTGGGAATTTGGTTTCTAAAGTAACTTCCTGCCCTCAAAGTCTGATTTCTACAATTTACTATACATATTTATGATTACTGGGTGAGGTACACTTACGAGCTAGCTTGATTGAATATTTTTGAAGAATATTCAAGAACTACATTTTTAAAAATTTGTTCAGTGGGTTAATTCAGTAAGGACTATCTGCTTTTGCCCCAAGTGGAAGAGTAGTCCTAATCTAAAAGATACTTTCAACTAAGTTCTGGGGAATACTTTGCTTTTTCTCCCCATCTTTGTGTTTATCTTAGAATCTCTTGGTGGTCATATTATTAGATAAGGAAAAGCTGTGCTTTGGAAATAGCAGCGCCCCAGAAGGGTGGAGACCCAAAGCTTAGAGACAGGCTAGAAATGCCATGTTCTGAAATAGGGCAGATTTCAGATGAATGATAAATTGAATGGATGAAAAATAGCTCTTAGCCACTTTATTCCAATGAAATACCATGATAGAGTGATGAGTCATAAGAGTAGCTGAAAAAAATCGAATTGTCAAGATTAGTATTAATATACAGAAAAATAGATGTTTAGTAATATTTTTAAATATTAAGAGCACTTTAACATGTGCAATGTAAAGACAAGAGCTTTGATTAAAACTTTGATTTTATATACTTTTGTATATAAAATATTAATATTTTATATACAATAGAGGCTTTGCCAATTGTGTTTCTAAGGGCTGAAGAGATATAAAATTCTAATTCAAAAGCAACACTAATTTTGCCCATTTGGCATTGAAGTCTTTATGGTTGAGATTGATCAACCAGACTGTTGAAATGTTTAACAGCATTCCGTAAGGGCATTCAAGAAGTCTCATCATTCTTACTTTATATTAAATAATAGTTTATCTTACTGATTTTCAAAATAGATTTATCTTATCTGATCTTCAAAATAAATTTTTCTATTAGGTGGTGAGAGTGCTGACCAGCTAACGAGTATGCCAACTCCTTTAAAAACTATAACTGTTGTTAGCGTAAATAGATAAAATAATACTCTTGTTATTCATTCAATAGTAATTAATTCTCCAGTGTTTTTCTATTACTGATGCACAAATGAAAACATGCCCATGTTTGAATTGTGATAACACCCCCAAATTACTGACCTCCAATGATACTCTCCCAGAAACAATCTGTTGGCTTTCTTCATTTGTGCAAAATATAACACTTTCAAGGTTTAGATGAGAATACAAAAAAACGTTTTCTTTCTTATACTCTCTCTCCTTCACTTCCTATTCTCAATTCATAATCTTCCACTATAGGGGAAAGATGTGTGCAGTTTTGTGAGTTCATTTTATAAATCTACAAAATATCTATTGTCTGTCCTAGTTCTTTGTCTGCTGCTGTAACAGAATAACCACAGACTGGGTAATTGATAAAGAAAATACGTTTATTTGGTTCACAGTTCTGGAGGCTGGGAAGTCGTAGAACATGGAATCAACATCTGGTAAGGGTCTTCTTGCTGTGTTACTTCCCATGGAGGAAGGCAAGAAGGCAAGAATTATGTGCAAAAAGAGAAAACAGGATGGGCCATGCTCCCCATATAACAACCCACTTTCACAATAACTAACCCACTTTCACAATCATAGCATTAATCCATTCATGAGGGTGGAGCCCCCATAACCTAGTAACTTGATGGACTCACCTTTTAATATGGCAATTTAATTTCAACATGAGGTTCAGACGGGACAAATATTCAAACCACAACATTGTCTAAGCCTGGAGTGAGAAGATGATGAAACTACATAGATTGTATGTGATATTTTACTGGTCAGAATGGCTTAACTACCTGAATTTTATTTGTCACATTAAAACATTCTTTCATTGTCAAACTTTAAAATGACTGTCAAACTGACAGCTGAGTGAGTAAAGCAGTAATTCAACAGCAACTGCTTTTTAAGAAAGAGGTATAAAGTGTTGAATCTGGTAGTTTAGTCACTGTTCAAACTAGAATTTTAATTATGTAACCCTTATTTATTCAATATATCATCATTAATGTTAATCAGACATATTCATTGTTTGTCTCCTTCTAGAGGGGGAAACAAATCTAATTATATTTGATGTAATATTTACATATGTATCTAGATAAGACCAAATGAAGTGTTACTCCAATGAAATAGCAATGTTTCTGACATCCTGAGAATGAAATGACCCAATATGGAAAGACTTTTGATACATACAGTTGTTGTTGGTACATATTTGCATACTGATATTATGATAATTATAAGTAACTTTTATATTATTGTACTTTGAGAAGAATATGTTTATCTAAAGTTGTTTTGAGTTCAGAATTAAACATATTCTATTTCTATATTTGGATCAAACGAAAATCTTATATGTTTAGTAAGACAAAACTTAAGATGGAAGACTATACATAAAATGACATATATTAATATATATCTGTATTAAGAACATTAATAGTAGTATGCTCATAAAATAGTCAACTAAAATATAATTCAAAAACGAGTACTCTTATTATTGATATTGAGTGAAATGTTTTTTGTATAAAAACCATTTTTAAAAGTTAAAATTTAGAGTTTTCTAATGTCATCACTATTGCAACTATCATCAATAAAAGTGCTATTTTAAAATATACAGCAAATTATTATCATTACTTATAAAGATGTTCTCCCTTTCTACCTAAAAACATAACTGTTTTGAGGCTATAGAGATTGCATGGCATGTGCACATACACACTCAGACACACATTAAATACCTCAGCTTTAGGCTGAGCAGGGTGGCTCATGCCCATAATCCCAGCATTTTGGGAGACCAAGGCAGAAGATCACTGAAGCCAGATGTTCAAGAACACCCTGAACAACATAGTAAGACACAATTTCTACAAATTTTGTTTTTAATTTTTTGACTCATGCCTATAGTCCCAACTACTATGGAGGCTGAGGCAGGAGGATCTCTTGAGACTAGGATTTCAAGATTACAGTGAACTATGACTGCACTTCAGTCTGGGTGGCCAAGTAAGACTGTCTTTAAATTTAAAAACTTTATCAAGTAATATTTAAAATTTTCCCTACTTTATCCAGAATTCATATGTCACACATGATGCCAATCCTATCCACGTGTCTAATTGCATACTTGATAATATTCCAGCTCCCTGACCATTCTCACCCCATCTCTGACTCCACCCTATCTATCCATGAACCTTTACTTATTATCCATGTGTCCTTGGGAATGGAGGTAGAGAGATGATGCTTCAACAATTAAATTGCAGGTGCTACTAATTGGAAGACAGAAAAGAAAGAACAGTGAAAGTATGACTTTTTTTTCTGACAGGGACCTGAAACTGGGTCAAGCTATGGTAGCACTAGTATGGATAAAGAAGAAGGTGCTCATCTAAAAGTGTTTGCAGAGAGGGATTTGACAACAATGAATCTTACAGATAGGCTAAGATAGGAATGTTTCTATTACCGTAGAAATAACAACAAAATGGCCAACATGTGTTGGTACTTACTGTTCACCAAGTACCGTGCTAAACATCACGATCACACTATCTCATTCCAACCTCACAAAGTGCCTGGAAGATAATATCACACAGTGATTACTTGCATGAATTCAGGAATCAGATTATCTGGGTCCAATCCTAACTTTACTGCTTCTAACTATGCAAACTTGGGATATTGCTTAGTCTTTTTTTTCTTCAGTTTTCTCATCTATAAATATTTGGCCTACCTTAAACATTTATAATAAATATTAAATGATATACAGTGTGTCAATTGTTACAAATAAAAAATTCATTAACACACCAAAAATAATTGAGCATCAGTATGTATCATATAACATTCCCAGCACTTTAAGATGCTGTTAAAAAAGTAGAAACAGATTCCTGACCATGTCAATTACATCCAATGAGAGTAACATTTAATCTGCCAACTACAATTACTACTGTTATTATATAAGTTTTTCAGATGAGAATCCTGAGGATTGGTCTGAAGTACCAAAGCTTGTTTTCTGAACATAAGGAAGTTTGGGCAGGGTCATAGACTTTTGAATTCATCATTCTAGAAAATAGGAATGGATGTGAAGAAGAATTTGTGCCCAGTTAAGGTTGGAAACCATACACTTGCGATATATATCTAAAATGATATTCGTGATTATATAATTAGTCTACTCACTTAAGCCAAAAGCTTGGAGTTATCTTTGACTCCTATCTTTGTCTCACATTTTATATTTAATCAATCAACAAGTTCTATTGGTTATAACTTTCAAATGTGTCTGCACATTGACCACATTTTATAATCTACACAGCCACCAGCGTAATCTAAGTTTCTAATGCCTTCCCTCTATATTATCATAACAGCCTTTCCCTCTCAGTCTCCTACCGTGTTCTTCACACAGATGGAAGCCATAGTATATCACTCCTTCACTCCAGGGCCTCCAATGGCTCCCATTTCTTTCAGAAGAAAATAAAAATTCCCTGCTATGGCCTGCAAATCTCTCCACAAACTCTCATTCTTATTTTAGCTTTTATTGTTGTAGATCAACTTCATTTGCTCTGCAATTTAATCTTCTTCCAACATACCAAGCATACTTCTACCACAGAGCCTACCTACTGCCAGTGATGCGTTCCTTTAGACATCCTATGGCTCCATTCACTACTGCATTCAGCTGTGTGTTCAGATATCACTTAGCTTTCCTTCTTCACAATGCATGAATCGGTACACACACCATAGCTACTCTGTGCCTCTTAATATACTTTGATTTTTTTCATTTATTTCTGACTGGCACCTATTGATTTAGCTGTTTCTTTTTTTAATTGCCATCCATTCCTACTAGAATATAGACTCTATCACAGTAGGGCCTTGGCTTTCTTCACTGCCATTTCCTTGCCTTAACACAAGTGCAGCACCTGGATCTAGTAGCCACTCAATTAAACACACACACACACACACACACACACATACACACACATTTTAAATGAATGAGTGGATGAATGAATGAATAAATCAATGAATTTAAAATGAATGCAATTTTTTTTCAACAGTATTCAGCTTACTAAGTACGGAAACACAGAAGCTGATTAATCCACAACTTCTTTCTTTCTTTTTTTTTTCAGATTTATACAATAGAAGATTAAAATGCTTGAGGGTGGTGTTAAGATATTGGTAAGTTGACAAATGAATCATCAGCCGTCGGTTAATGAATGTGAAGAAAATGTTATTGACATTTCAGAGAAAAATATATGAGCCTCAATGAGTTTGAAAATGCTTTATCTTTGTAGTAAACTACTAAGAGTTTGATGACAAAGAGATTGCGCTCAGAAGAAGGTGATGAAAAAGTGTTTTAATATATGCTGTATGGAGTAGGAATGATTCATGCGGAGTTGATGCTCAAATTCTAAAACTCTTAAACTCTTAGCGGCAGGAGTCATCTTAAGGTAAAACCATAATTTCTATAAATGATATTTCTTTTTTTTGAGACGGAGTCTCGCTCTGTCGCCCAGGCTGGAGTGCAGTGGCGCGATCTCCGCTCACTGCAAACTCTGCCTCTCAGGTTCACGCCATTCTCCTGCCTCAGCCTCCCGAGTAGCTGGGACTACAGGCACCCACGACCACATCCGGCTAATTTTTTTTGTGTGTTTATTTTTAGTAGAGACGGGGTTTCACTGTGTTTGCCAGGATGGTCTCGATCTCCTGACCTCACGATCCGCCAGCCTCGGCCTCCCAAAGTGCTGGGATTACAGGCGTGAGCCACTGCACCCGGCCTTACATTAATCCAGATGTGTTCAGAAATGCCCTATTTTTGTTAATTGATAGGTATTAATTGTCTCACTGAATATAGGAAGAAATTAGTGACTTTAGTTTTATTAAGGACTCTTCATACTGTGATTGATTATAGACTTTTGGATTAGCTAAGACACTCCAGATCTGACTGCACGGTCTAGCTCTTGATGGCTAATATAGTATAGCCACCAGCTACATGCATCTGTTTAAATTTAGATTCATATTAATATTAATTATAATTAATGACATTAAAAATCCTATTCCTCAGTCTTACTAGCTACATTTTCAGTGCTCAAATGCCACCTGTGGTTAATGGCTACCATCCTGACAGTGCAGATACAAAAAGAAGTCTTTGTTCATCTCAGCAAATACTACTGGAGAGCCCTGGTCTAGTAGAGGATCACCACGGTACTGGGGTAGCCAGAAATACAGAATGCTTTATTTCTGTGACTGCATTCCTAAATCTAAATACCACGTTAGTTTGCTAATGTTGATATAACGGTAAGATTGTATCATGCATGACAAATAATCAACTGTCTCAAAAGATAGTAGTTGTATTCTTGTATGCATTAAGTTTTTAAAGATGAAGTATGAGTTTTAGGGAAATTGAAGACCATTGAAACCCACATGGTTAGATAGAGTTACCTGTAATCCAGTTAGTAATGAATTTCAAAAACTGTTGACTACATTCTTTCAATGACAAAAAAGAAGAGATACTTCTTGTACTTGAACATTGTATATTAAAAATGGGGCATAGAGGAATATGCTCTCTCTATCCTAATTTTAATTCAACAACTTTTTGACTTTTATCTTCAGAAAGATTTTTGTATTCAGAAATGAACTTAGGCATTAAAAATATATAGGGAATAGTATACTCAAAGATCCACTGTTATTGGATACAGTCTATGAACTCACTCACTACAAAGGGTGACAATGTTCAGCAGGAAGAGTCTGGGTGACAGGAGTATGAATTCATCTGTGTGTTATCACATTGAGTGCTTATGCAGATTATCCACTTTTATCTCAGTTTATGCTGGATTTCTGAACCTGGCATATACTTCGGGACTGAACAGATGGACTACTTGTATTTTTGACTGGTAAGGCAATTAGTAAACAATGGCCCAATAAGGGGAAAGCTCATAAGAAAAGGTAACATCACAGGAGGCTCAGTGACTAGAAAAGGTCGTCCAAAGAAAACCCTTGTAGAGAAAATCGTAAGACATAATTGAGGGTGTGACATCTACTTAGGACCCCACATTCCTTCATTGTGGAAATGGCTAATATCAATGGGAAGCAATCAATACTGCCTACAGACAGACTTACAAGCTAAATTTCATTAGGAAAGGCTTCACTGGCTGGTAAAAAAAAAATTAAATAATAGGATTATAAGTGATCATTCATAATATATTACTAGAATTTGTATTCTGTTCACGAGGAGTATGGGGAGGGTCGTCCAGGCCCATGGGCTATTGTTCTGTAAGACCTATAACTCTGTGTGCCATGAAGGGATGGGAGAGATGTGAAGAATGATTAATAAAAGTCCTAGAAGCACAAGCGAGGAAGCAGAAGTTTGAGACAGTAGTGAACAGCAGGAAGAACACTTGACATTTTTTCCTCCATCAATAGCTACTTAAGTAAGCATGAAGTTCTGGGTTTCACAAGCTTGCTATTTAGTGCTCCTGCAGGACCTGTTAAGAACACTAAAGACAAATTATACCTGAAAGGAACCCAGGGACCTGCACTGTCCAATATGGAGCCAATAGCCACATGTTACTAGAAAATAAGTGCCTGAAATGCGGGAAGTCCAAACTCAGATAGGCTCTAAGCATAAAATGCATATCAAAATGGAAAAAAAATAGTATGATAAAAGTATGCAAAATATCTCATTAATAACCTTATATTGATTACATGCTAATATGATCTTGTTTTGCCTATACAAATGTGTTGTATTCAGGGACTGATTCAATCAATGATTTTTTATTCCATTTTTTGTTTCATTGCCTGCCCTAATCTGACTCACTGCAATTGTCCTAATCTGACTCATTGCAAATTGTCCAGTTAATTGTATATTTACTGGTTGATGGAAAAGTGTCTAGTAGCTATTGCTATATAGTATGTTAAGCTCTAGCTAAAACCTAAAAGGTATTCTTTGCCTTTATACTAATGACATTGCTGTGGCAGGAAATAATGAAGTGAATGCTATTACATAAATATTTGGTATTAATCCATATACAAAATGTGAGTGCAGAATTCACCCCTAAAGTACAAATTTCTGCCCCCTAAATCGGAAACTCTGGAGGTGCTTAAAATTTGTGCATTAACAAGCTCTGTAGGTTTCACTGATGCCTGCTAACCTTTAAGAACCTCTGCTCTCACGGTATTTTAAATCTTTATTCTGGAGGAAGGATATCAACCTTTTAGAAATGGCTAGATAATTTATTATTGTTTTGCCAGAGATCTCTATCTCAGGAGAGTTTTTACTTAACAAAATTACATACAAGCCATCAAGAGAATGAGAGATGAAAGGAATAATATTCATAACCATAAGCTCTCCTAGGCCAGTTATGAGCCTTTTCCTTTAGGTGTCTATCACTGGGAACTGGAAGACTGAGATGCATGTCCACAGGAGGTGGGCTCAATGGCAATGTGAAAAATTTTAGAGCTATGATAATGGGAATATCTTGGGCTTCTTCATCAAATTCGCTTCCTCATCTAGTCTTGTGTCAGAGTTGTTTGTAGGTTGGGTAGGTATTATTGCCCCAATTTATGAAGGGTAAGATGTTTTATAACTCTGTTATCATGACTGAGTGTATTTCCAAATGAACAAGATATATTGAATTGTTTCTGAAAAATACCATTGTTTGCAAATTATTAAGTCAAAATAATGTAAAAGTATGGTGTGTTTTAAGTTGAATGATACTTGCTAATTGTGATTACATGTGTCCTGTTATTAGTATTACCCATACTCAAAGGTAAGGCATTATTTTTTGAGTTTACTATTCCCACAGATCACCTAAGGAATTTATTAAAATGTAGATTCCACCTTCGTAGACCTGAAGAGGGGTCTGAGTTTTTTCATAACAAGGTCCTAGGAGATGCCGAACCAGGGTCCCCGTTTTGAATAACCAAGCACCCCCACACCAGTCCTTTGGAATCCAAAGCTGCATTTTTTACCAAGACTAGTGGGTGAATCTTGGCACATTAAAGTTTGCAAAACACTGATACCATGATCTAAAGTGATTGAAATGTTTGACTGTTCTTTATTACCACCTGGGAAACTTGAATAAAATCTGATTCCTGGGTCCTATACTGGACAAAAAAAGTTAGAAATTGTGTGGTGCAACAGAACCTGGTAACAATGTATTTTCAGAACTTCCTGGGTAAGGAAGACAGAATAATGGTCCCCTGAAATTGTCCACATTCTAATCCTTGGAACCTGTGAATATGCTGCCTTTTGTGGCAAAAGTGACATTGCAGGTGTGATTAATGTTAAAAGTCTTGAAATGGGGGAGATTGTCCTGGGTAATTCAGGTGAATCCAATGTAATCACATGACTTTTACAAGTGAGAAATGTTTCCCAACTGAAGATGGAGACTTGATGACAGAAGAAGGGCCCGAGAGATACAACATCACAAGATCTCCACCCACTTACTGTTGCTGGCTTTAAAAATAGGTTAATGGGGACTCCAACCAAGGAATGAAGGTAACCTCTAAAAACTGGAAAAGTTAAGGAACTAGATTTTCTCCTACAGTCTCCAGAAAAGAATGCAGCTCTGTAGACACCCTGAATTTATCCCAGTGTGACTCATGTTAACCTTCCAGCCTACACAACACTGATAACACAAATATTATCATTTGTGTTTTTTCAAGGCACTATGCCTGTAGTAGTTTGTTATAGCAGCAATGGGAAATTAATATACCAGTGGATATTAACCCACAACCATTGCTCTAGGGGTCTATCAGAAGAAGCCAGCAGAAGGCTTTTGGAGTTTCTTATACATAATAAGGGTTTCTTGGGTCCAAGTGTCCTGCAGATTCCCAGAATTTCCTGACCAGCCCAGTCACTCAGATCTATGTCTGCCATACAGGGATCTCTGAAAGGTTGAGGAACCACTGTGTACCTGTAACTTTGAAAGTAAGTGCAATTTTGCTAATGTTTATAGATTATGCCCCTAATCATTTGTTTTCAAAGTGCTATATGGATAAAGGTGGGTGTTTTTGTTTGTTTTTTTGTCTGTTTATTTTATTTTGTTCTATTATTTTGGTGGGAGGAAAGGAGGAGGTGGGTGTTACAGAGTCAGAAAAAAAGTTGAAAATAAGAAGGCAGTAAATGTCCCAAATTTTTATAAGATTTTTGGCATCAGAGTCAATAAAACATTCCATGACATACAATATAATCCCAGGTTTTGAAGATCTAGCTGCCTTAGTAGTTACTGAGAATGACAGACATTTTCCTACCCTTCCATCTCAAGAGCTACCTTTCTCCTTCCATGTTGTCATTTCTGCTGTTGTTCACAGATGATCTTGCTCCCTTCAGAGACAGAGCAATGGTGGCTGTAGCCACAAGGCTTCTGTGTGCACAGAGGAGTTTCCCTGTGAGGCTCAAGGAGCCCTCAACTGTGATTACGGGGAATTTTTCCCAATGCAAATGCCTCTTCCATAGTCACAATGACAAAATAAAACATGTTAGGGCAACCACCCTTTCTGAGCTCTAGTGCATGCTAGTTGGAATGCGTATCAAATAAAAATCCCATTTAAATATATTTTATTCATTTTGCATCTTTAAGTAATTGGATTTATTGAATTATCAACGAAATAACTATAGCTTTCATCATCAGTCTAAGTTTCTATAGTCTAGTAAATTATAATGAGAATATTCAAATGGCTTTTAACAGCTGACATTAAAGAAACATTTCTAGGGATATCAGAATTCTAGAAAACACAAAATTTGGACACAGGCTAGGGTTCTATGATATGGTGGTTTATTTAGCTAATTTCAAGTATAAATTAAAGAGCTGCTTTTATTATAAAAAAGCAAATTTATGGAGCACAGACTCCTTCTAAAAGGTCTTGATTCAACAAAATATAAGGACTGAAAACTGCAATAGAGTTACCAGAGATGCCATTCTTTTAAAATTCAGCAACGTTCATTTCCATTGTGCTTAAAGTTTTTGTATTTCTCTTTTTAGCAACATAGGTTTGAAGACTATTTTACAATATTGTATAGAATATAAAACTTCAAAGTACATATTTCCTATGTAAAGTCACATGCTGTATAATGACATTTCAGTGGTCCCATAAGATTATAATGGAGCTGGAAAATTCCTATTGCCTCGTATTTACAATACTATATTTTTACTGTTATTTTAGAGTGTACCCCGACTTATTAAAAAAAATCAAACAAGTTAACTATAATACAGCCTCAGGCTGTCTTCACGAGGCATCCAGAAGAAGGTATTGTTATCATAGGAGATGACACCTCTATGCTTGTTATTGCCCCTGAATACCTTCCAGTGGGACAAGAGGTGGAGGTGGAAAACAGTGATATTGATGATCCTGACTTGTGCAGGCCTAGGCTAATGTATGTGTCTGTGTCTTAATTTTTACCAAAGTTTTAAAAGTTAAAAAATTGGGAAAAAGCTTATTGAATAAGGATATAAAGAATATGTTTTGTACAGCTCTGCGATATGTTTTAAACTACGTTATTACTAAAGAGTCAAAAAGCCTTAAAAACTTAAAAAATTATTAATTAAAAAAGTTACAGTATGCTAAGGTTAATTTATTATTGAAGAAAAAATTAACAAGTTTAGTATTGTCTGATTTGTAAATGCTCATAAAGTCTATAGTAGTGTATAGTAATATCCTAGGCCTTCACATACACTCCCCATTCACTCTGACTCACCCAGAGCAACTTCCAGTCCTGCAAGCTCCATTCATGGTAAGTGCACTGTACAGGTGTCCCATGGCTGGAAACCATCATTCTCAGCAAACTAACACAGGAACAGAAAACCAAACACCGCATGTTCTCACTCATAAATGGGAGTTGCACAATGAGAACGCATGGACACAAGGAGGGGAATATCACACACTGGGGCCTGTCGTGGGGTGGGGGGCTAGGGGAGGGATAGCATTAGAAGAAATACCTAATGTAGATGACGGGTTAATGGGTGCAGCAAACCACCATGGCACGTGTATACCTATGTAACAAACCTGCACGTTCTGCACATGTATCCCAGAACTTAAAGTATAATAAAGAAAGTAAAAAAAAAAATCTTTTATACTTTTTTTACTGCGCCTTTTCTATGTTTAGATAGACACATACTTACTGTTGTGTTATAACTGCCTACAGTATATAGTATAGTAACATGCTACACAGGTTTGTAGCCCAGGAGCAATAGGCTATACTATATAGGCTAGGTGTGTGGTAGACTATGATATCTAAATTTGTACACTCTATGATGTTCACACAATGATGGAATCACCTAACATTTATCAGGACGTATCCCTGGTGTTAAGCAACACATGATTTTGTTATACTAACAATTCTCTTAGAGATTATTGGGGAAAAATTTAATAAGATATTTCCTACGTTTGTAATAGACCATCAGTGGTGACGCTCTAACAAGCTGTCATGAAGATGGCCATACACAACAATTCTGCGTGTTTTCTTTTGCTATTTAAGAGTGCTCTGTTTGGGAACCCTGACTTATAAACCGTGGTTCTGGCCAGATGGAACCTCTGAAGATATGAAAGAAACAAAAAGAGAGTGGAAAGATGTTTTAATACAGAGTATAAAAAGAAGGGATTGTGTGGAAGCATAATAAAGGCAAGAAATAAAATTCCTTTAAAGCTGATATGAATTAGAAGGGAGATGACTGATTCAGAAAAGCAATGCAGATGCAGTGAAGCATTTCAGAGACATCTGAAATAAAATGAAAACAGGTGCCTCTAAACTGCTGTCTCTTTGTACTTTGACTCCTGCCCATCTATTTTCTACTTGGCAGCCAGGAAGATTCTGTGAGAATTCAAGTCGGACCCTGCCCCTCCGTGGACATCCCTCCAATGGCTCTCCGTCAAGCTAATGTCCTTCCTCTTGCTCTTGAAAGCCTCTCATGATCAGCCTTCCAGAAAACAGCCTCAATTCAACCCATCATTTGCTCCCCCAGGGCTTCTGCACCTGTTCTTCCTGCATTAAATGCTCTTTGAGTCTGTGTGAGTCATTCCTCTTCACTTCCTTTGACATGTATGAAATGTTTATATTTTCTGCCTTTTACTGGAAAACTTCACCCCCACGCCTACACCCCTTCTATTTCCCTTCTTTACTTTCTTTTTTTCTTTGTCTCTAGTTCTACTTACTTTCCAGCTTATGCTATTTATGACTGTCTATTTTTTCCTATACTGCAATGTAAGCTCCAGGAGAGCAATGAGATTGTCTGAAATATCAGCACCTGGAGCACTGATTGTATTTTAGGAATTCGATAAATACTTGCAGAATAAATGAGGTAGCAATGATCATGTCTTCTGAAGAAGAAATAATCATTAATATTCAGTACTCAGTAGGCATCAAATCTATGTTGAGTGCCTTCCATAGATAATCTCATTTACTCTTAATAACAAACCTATAATAGATGCTAATACCGGACCTTGCTTACAGAGGAAGTAATAGGATGATGGGGAGGGGTAAAATGTGGCATAGACATGGTTGTGGGGTAGTTGTGGTTATCAGAGTCTTCTGATACCAGTAGTTTTTTCTTTTAATTTGTGGTTATATAGGAATGATCTACAATGTCTGTTGGTTTATTATGTTAGAATATTATATAGTTGTTTGGGCAAAGCATCATGATAGAATTATACACATTAATCCTATCAGGAAATTGATACGATTTAAAAATTATTTAAAACTACAATAAACTTTTTCTTTATTATTGAGACAGAGTCTCCCTCTGTCCCCCAGGCTGGAGTGCAGTGGCGCGATCTTGGCTCATTGCAACCTCTACCTCCCAGGTTCAAGCCATTCTCGTGCCTCAGCCTCCCGATTAGCTGGGATTACAGGTACCCACCACCACACCCAGCTAATTTTTTTTGTATTTTTAGTGGAGACGGGGTTTCACCATGTTGGCCGGGCTGCCTGGCCAACTTGATCTCAGGTGATCTGCCTGCCTCAGCTTCCTAAAGTGCTGGGATTACGGGTGTGAGCCACCGTGCCCGGCCGTCAACTACAATAAACTTACTTCGCCTTGGCAATAAACACCAGAGAAAAATTTATCTCTCTAAAAAAAGAGAATTCAACCAAATTCAGCTTTCTCTCTTAGGAAATGTTATTATGTTACCATTTTCTCCTGGTGGACCTCAGAATCCCTATATTGAGAGTCAAAAGAAACATAGGGCATAGTAATGACCTTCGTGGTTCTTAGTATTATATTAGTTGATTTACAAAGAATAATTGAAAAAATATACCTATTTCTAGATTGTATCAAAATTATATTTGACTCATTTTATAACTTTAAAATGTGCCCAAATTGAAAAATATAGTACAATAAAGAATCTATATTATCCAAAGACTTCATATCTTTGTAAATCATTTTTATTTTGATTATTTTTTCCTGGTATATGTTAGTGGTCTTTATCTCCTCAGGAGTAAAGTATCTTTTATTACTCAGAAACTGAGCTCAAAGTGATGTAGGTACAATAATATTTTATTTCAAAGGGAAGTGTGCACTCATAATTCATTTTCCTCTGCTGTGGCTTGTAACAAGAAAAGGGATGAACTTAGAACAGTAGAAGAAATATTTTAAAAAACAGCAGTGGGATTTAAAAATAACTACTGAGCTGGATGCCACCTGACCATGATGCCTTTTCAGTTTCACACGTGTATTTGTCAGGGCTTTCCAGAGAAATGGAACCAATAGAATGAATATGTATATATCAGGAGACTCATTATGGGAACTGGCTCATACCATTGTGGGGGCCAAGAAGTCCCATGATCTCTGCTGTCTGCAAGCTGGAGAGCCAGGAAAGCTGGTGATATAATTCAGTCCAAGTCTGAGAACCAGATAGCAAGAGGAGCAGATGGTGTAAGTCCTGGTCTGAATCTGAAAGCTTGAGAACCAGAAATGCCAATGTCCAAGGGCAAGGGAAAATGGATGTCTCAGCTCAAACAGAGAGAGGAAATTGAGCCTTCCTCTACATTTTTGTTCGATCCAGGCCCTCAATGGATTGCAGGGCCCAGATTGGTGACAACCTTACAGTCATACTCAGAAACAATATTTTAATACCAGCTCTTTGGGCATCCCTTAGACCAGTCACAAGTCCATTCCTTGGAAATCTGGGCATTCACATGCATCTCTTTAAGTCATGCTCAATGTCTAAATAAGGAAAATAACAAGGTCAAAATTCCACCCAACATAATATAACTATCCTGCATACAACCAAAAATGCACTAACCCCTTCCTCAGGAGAGGAGGTACATTCTTTGAGGAATGGTCACTCTTCTTCTTGATATTTCATAACTTAAATAATATGAAGTAAAATTCACAGTAGTTAATTACTGATATAGAGTCAATACATCTTATGTTATGTGATAAAGAAATAAGAGAGGAAAGAAAACAGAAAAACTTGCTTAATATACACACATATTTTATATATAGTTTTTATATATGTATATACATATACTATATATAGTATATATATATATATATATACTATATATAGTATATATATATATATATATACTATATATAGTATATATAGTATATATATATATACTATATATAGTATATATACTATATAATAAATATATATTTATATATATATATATAATATATATATTTATATATACATATACATATATACATAGACTATATATAGTATATACATATATGTATATTATATATAAAATATATATTTATATATAATATATATTTATATACATAAATCTATTCATAACAAATGAAGGAGAAAATGCTCTTGACAATTACAGTTCTGTTGCTGTAACTGGTCATGTGGTCATAGCTGATCGTTACCTTCTTCCACTACCCATTCTGTATTCTCTTTGGCGTTAGCAAGCACCTCAGATGGTTATGGTTCTTTATTTGGTGGGTTGACCCAAACCTTCATTCCTGAAGAGCCTAGGCCATTAGTTGTTCTGCCTGGATTGAGTTGTTGCAGTTTTACAATGCTCTTAATCATAAGCATGTGTGATTTAAAGATACGCTAAGGGATCTTATGTTTTCTAAACATACTCTTCCTTACTTCCATTGTGGAGTGGTAGTCTAATTTACCCTTAGCAGTCAAGATAAATCACAGCCTGCAGAATAACTCCCTTCTTTACTTGTTGATTCAGCGGCATAAGGAGCCCAACATAGCTGGGTGAAAGTCTTAACTTCCAGTTCAATGAAACATTGTTGTGTCTCCTGGTGGAAGCATTCTTCCCTCTGGAACTAAGACCTCTAGGCCAGCAGAGGATAAAGTTGTAGGAATAGTAAGAAAACGTTTTGTTGGTGAGTCATTAGAGGAAACAGTGTGTGGTACCACTCCCATTTATGTTCCTTGATTCCTGGAACTGTGAATACTGGCTATAAGAAAAACAATACCACATTGAGAGCATATACAACCTTCTGGAGAACCTTGTCCAAGCTCTGCAAAGTATTGCCACCTAGCTGGGGCTGTAACTGAGTCTTCAAAAGGATGTTATACTGTTCTATCAAGCAAGCTACGTCAGAATGGTGAGGAACATGGAAGACCAGTGAGTTTCATGAACATGGGCCCACAGTAGCACTTCTTTTGCTGCTAAGTGGGTTCCTTGATCAGAAGCAATGCTTTATGGATTACCATAATGGTGGATAAGGCATTCTGTAAATCCACAGAAGTAGTTTTGGCAAAATCATTGTGTTCAGGGAAGGTAAGACTATATCCATTTTAAGTGTCTATTCCAGTAAGGACAAAACACTGCCCTTTGCATGATGGAAGTGGTCCAATGTAATCAACCTGCCACCAGGTAGCTGGCTGATCCCCCCAGCTACCTGGAGGAATGGTACCATATCAGGGGCTTAGGGTCGGTTTCTTCTGCTGGAATATTGAGCATTCACTGGTGGGCATACCCATGTTAGCCTTGGTCAGTGGAGGTCCATGTTGCTGAGCCCATGCAAATCCTCCATCCCTGTCACCATGGCCACTTTGTTCAAGAGTCCATAGGGTGATAACAAGGATGACTGAGGAAAGAGACTGATATCCATAGAACAGATCATCTTATTCACTTAATTATTAAAACCCTTCTCTGCTGAGGTCCACCTTTAGCAAACATCCACCTGTGACACAAATACTTTCAGGCTTTTTATCTACTCACGGAGGTCTATCCGCATACTTCTTTCCCAAATTTCTTTGTCACCGATTTCCCAATCATGTTTCTTGGGAGTCTCTGATTATTCAACCAAACCATTGGCTTGTTTTGGTATGTAATTGCATATCTGGCCATTTCTTCTTCTAAATGAAGTACGAAACCAGGTGCACCGTCTGAAGTTCTGCCCACTGAAAGGAGTTCCCTTTACCAATGTCCTTTATGGGTATCCCAGAGAGGGGCTGTAGTGCTGCAGCTGTCCACTTTTGAGTGGCGCCTGCCTACCATGCAGAACCATCTGAAATCAAGAACCAAGTCTCCTATTCCTATGCCGAGTGATTGTAAGGAACTTTTCATGAGGTCGTATGTGCAGGGTTGTAGAGAGAGGGCAGCATAGCCGGAGTGGGGACCATGGGCATGGGAGCCACTTCTTCATGTAACTTCCTTGTGCCTTCAGAGTCTGCTCAAGCCCTATCACATGTATACCACTTTCATTTAAGGATAGTGTTTCTGTGCACATTCAACCTTAGGGCTTTGTGGGTCAGATAACACCCAGTTCATGAGGAACACCTCAGGCTGCTGTATGAGAACTTGGTGACCCATGTGTCAAGCATTCAGGTTTTACTAAGGCCCAGTAGCAAGCCCAGATGATGGCGGGGCTTTTCTTCAACATCCTAAAAGCTTGAACTGTGATTCACCTACTGGAGCCTGACATAGGCTTCATATAGCATTCCTATCTGCTACTGACACCTCAGGCACCATTGGATCTACTGGCTCACATGGCCCAAGTGGCAGAGCAGCTTGCACAATGGCTTGGAGCTGTTACAGACCTTTCTGTTGCTTTGGACTCCACTGAAAACTAGCAGCTTTTCAGGTCATTTGATTAATGGGCTGGAGTAACACACCAAAATTAGAATATATGGTGACTCCAAAATGCAAATAAAACTACTAGATGGGCATCTTTCTTGGTTTTTGGAGGGGGGCAGATGCAACACATCATTTTTCACTTTTTTTGTTTTTGTTTTTGTTTTGGAGACAGAGTCTCGCTCTGTCACCCAGGCTGGAGTGCAATGGCACGAAATCGGCTCACTGCAACCTCCACCTCCTAGGTTCAAGCAATTCTCCTGCTTCAGCCTCCCGAGTAGCTGGGATTACAGGCGCATGCCACCATGCCCGGCTAATTTTCGTATTTTAGTAAAGACGGAAATGGTTTCACCATGTTGGCTGGGCTGGTTTCAAACTCCTGACCTCAGGTGATCCGACCCCCTTGGCTTCCCAAAGTTCTGGGATTACAGGCGTGAGCCACCGTGCCTGGCCTCTTTTTCATTTTAAAGGGATATCTGGACATGCACCACTGAACCCCCAGAAATTTCACGGAGATATAGGTTCCTGGATTATAGTCAGATATATTTCCCTCCCTCTGACATGCAAACGTCTTACCAATAAGTCTACAATAGTCGTTACTTCTTGTTCAGTAGGTTCAATTAACGTAAGGTCATCAATGTAATGGACTAGTGTGATATGTATGTATGTGTATATATATACATATATATATATACACATATATATATATATATATATATATACACATTTATATATATATATGTCACATTTTCTTTATCCACTCATTGACTGATGGGCATTTGGGCTGGTTCCATATTTTTGAAATTGCCAATTGTGCTGCTATAAACGTGTGTGAAGGTATTTTTTTTTTGTATAATGACTTCTTTTCCTCTGGATAGATACATAATAGTGGGATTGCTGGATCAAGCAGTAGATCTACTTTTAGTTCTTTACGGACTGTTCATACTGTTTTCCATAGTGGTTGTACTAGTTTATATTCCCACCAACAGTGTAAAAGTTCCCTTTTCATTGTATTCCTGCCAACATTAATTATTGTTTTATTTTTTTGATTATGGCCATTCTAGTAGAAATAAGATGGTATTGCAATGTGGTTTTGATTTGCATTTCCTTGATAATTAGTGATACTGAGCATTTTTCCATATGCTTGTTGGCCATTTGTATGCCTTCTTTTGAGAATTGTCTATTTATGTCCTTAGTCCACTTTTTGATGGAATTGTTTGTTTTTTTCTTGCTGATTTGTTTGAGTTCCTTGTGGATTCTTGGTATTAGTCCTTTGTTGGATATATAGATTGTGAATATTTTCTACCACTCTGTGGGTTGTTTGCTAACTCTGCTATTTCTTCTGCTGTACAGAAGCTTTTTAGTTTAATTAAGTCCCATCTATTTATCTTTGTGTTGCATTTGCTTTTGGGTTCTCGGTCATGAAGTTTTTGCCGAAGCCAATGTCTAGAAGGGATTTTCCAATGTTATCTTCTAGAATCTTTATGGTTTCAGGTCTTAGATTTAAGTCTTTGATTCATCTTGAGTTTATTTTTGTATAAGCTGAGAGATGATGATCCAATTTCATTCTTCTACATGTGGCTAGCCAAGTAGTCCAGCACCATTTGTTGAATAGGGTGTCCTTTCCCCCCTTTATGTTTTGGTTTGCTTTGTTGAAGGTCAGTTGGCTGTGAGAATTCGGCTTTATTTCTGGGTTCTCTATCCTGTTTTACTGGTCTATGTGCCTATTTTCATACCAGTACCATGGTGTTTTGATGACTATGGCCTTGTAGTATAGTTTTAAGTCAGGTAATGTGAGGTCCCCAGATTAGTTCTTTTTACTGAGTCTTGTGTTGGCTATGTGGGCTCCTTTTTGGTTCCATATGAATTTTAGGATTGTTTTTTCTGGTTCTGTGAAGAACGATGGTGGTATTTTGATAGGAATTACATTGAATTTGCAGATTGCTTTTGGCAGTATGGTCATTTTCACAATTGTAATAATCACTTGTTTTTCACAGTATGATAGTCTTTGATTATCCTGGTAGATTCAGTATGCTAATATTTAGCTTATGTTACTGAGTTTGGTCTATCGTTTTATTATTTTTAACTGCTCCCCTCTACAATGTAAATGATAGATTTAAAGAAAATAAATAGGATAATATCACATTTTTCTGTTGTTAAAATTTATATACCAAGAGAAATCTCAGTTGTTTACATGTATATGTTTGGGAGAGGTAACTTTGCAAGTCAGTTTTTTTCAGTTTTTCACTGCTGCTTAAGTAAATTTTCCTATATATATATATATGTTTGTTGTTGTTATGATGTGCAAATTAATTAGTTTAGAGGGGTATAGTTTTGTCTTAATTGAAAGTTTCATAATTTTTCTATAAACAGATGTTTTCTGTTTGTATATCTCATTTGTTAATATATATTCTCTGTATTAAAATTATTCATATTTATGTGAATAATTCTTAGATTAAATAATCTTGGTTATTTAAAATGTATTAGTTCTTCATTTCCTTCTTTATTTATTTTTCTTCCTTTTAAATTGACTTAGGTGCAGAGAATATTGACTAAGAGCAGGTCTTGAAGAATTAGCTTTGACATTAAAAAAAAAAAACCTTAACCGTTATCATCTTTAAAATCTGTGTTATAATACCACCTTCTGATAGTGTTGTGGTAAGAAATAAATGAGATATATAATCAAAGCACTTAGTTTACTGCTTTGCAAATTCAGTTCTAAATGTTGGCTATAAATACTTGAATATAGTAAGTGCATTTGCCATGTTCACCCAGTCTATTTTTTTTTCTCGATTTCATGGATGTCACTATATTTTATTGCACATGTGTAATTTCATCTTTTATAGAAGTCCTCATTATTAATTTTGATGTTTTATTTGAATCAGTGTTTTAATATTTTGGAAATGAATTCCCCAATTCTGTTTGCTTTTGTTGTTCTTTAGACTTAACACATTACTAATAATTCCTTTATTTTCATTTTTGCCTGAAAATTTGACCTTATTTTTATTCTGGATATTTAAAAGCTAGAATTTCATTTTTTGCCTTGTAAATGTACATTTATGAATATATAATGGAAACTTGGAAAATATATACAATCATCCCTTGGTATCCTGGAGGACTAGTTCTAGGACCCCCTGTGGATGTCAACATTTGTGATGCTCAAGTCCTTTATATAAAATGGTGTAGCATTTGCATATAAACTATGCACATCCCCTTGTATACTTTAAATCATCTCTAGATTAACTACAGAATACCTAATATGATGTGAATGTTATGTAAATAGTTGTTATACTGCTTTAATAGAATAAGTAAAGAAGTCTGTACATTTTCAGAATCTTTAAAATATTTTTGATCTGCAGTTGGTTGAATCTACAGATATGGAACTGTGTATACCAAGGGCTGAATGTGTATCTTTCCTAAGACATAATGTACTATTAACAAACATTAATAATTATACCATTTACATCTTACCAGTTACTAATTTTCCCAACTTTATTTTTATCTTCTTTTCAATGACAATGAGTGCTATCAACGTATGTATACTTATTTTATTTTACTCAGATACTTTAATAAACTTATGAAAAATATTTCTGCACTAAGTAACACAGTGAATAAAATTCATGGCTGAAGTCCTCACTTCTCCATTCATTCATTTACTTACTAACCCAAGAAATTGTATCTATTGTAAATGAGGCATTATACTGGGTGTTAGGAAAATAAGCAAGAACTAATTAGGGGTATAGTTAGTCTATTTGAGTGTGGAGTCAATCTTCACTCACAATGTAATGTTAAGATAACTATTCTCAATTAAACAAATATCTGTTTGATAGAAGTTGAACAATAGACCTCATTAGTAGCAAATATTGTGTATTTATAGGGAGTTTGGGACATGTGAAGCAAATAGCAAAATACTAATTTTGGAAGCTCTTCTTTGCTGCTGCGGCTTCAAAATATTAGCCTTAATGCTTAAATCATATAAAATTATTGAATTACAGTACCCAGAGAATCACTAAATTATATCAAAGTAATTAATAACTATGGAAGGATGGTCACAAATTATTTCAGAGATTAAAATATACTCTGAATTTTTACATCTCTAAATAAAATTATTTATATATCACGATTTTTGTTAGTCAATCATACAAATACTTAGTAATATTTATCAGCAGAAAATTTTTCTCTAGGTCTAATTTAGCATTTTTACTTTAAAGTGCATATTTATATACAATGCTTCAGAATAGAAACAACATGAGCTGTTGAAGATTGAGTAATTCACTAGAGATTTTGGTAATAGTAATCATATTTAAAATGGTGATTATAGAAAACTTCTTACATTTATCAGTTTATTAGTAAATATAAGGCACACTATAAGCATTTTACATATACAAGGAGTCTTTCATAAATTTTCATTAAAAATTTATGTTTTGAAAAAAACTATGCATAAATTTAAAATTTTTTCTGCACCAAAACAAGCTCATGTTAAGTTGTTACACATGTCTGAACAAGATCTAGTTTAAGGCATTAAGAAGGATAAGAAATCACTTTGAAAAGAATTCCTAACAGAACAACCTGAATTATGCTAAAATTGAAGCAAGAACAAATATCAAATTTATAGTGAAGCTTGGATGGAAGAATGGTTAAATCATTGTCGCTTAAAAAAATAGCTTATGAGGACAATGCCCCGAAGAAATCAGTGGTTTTCAAATGGATAATTCGTTTTAAGAATATAAGAGATGACGTTGAAGATGAAGCCCACAGTGGCAGACCATCCACATCAGTTTGCAAGGAAAAAAAAGTAATCTTGTTTGTGCCCTAATTGAAGGAGACAGACAATTAACCGCAGAAACAACAGCCAACATCGTGGACTTCTCAGCTGGCTCAGCTTAGACAATTCTAACTGAAAAATTAAAGACAGGCAAACGTTCCACTTGATGGGTGCCAAAACTATTGCACCCGCGTCAGCTGCAGACAAAAGCAGAGCTTTCAATGGAAATTATTTTTTTTTTATTGTACTTTAAGTTCTAGGATACATGTGCACAACGTGCAGGTTTGTTACATATGTATACATGCGCCATGTTGCTGTGCTGCACCCATTAACTCGTCATTTACATTAGGTATATCTCCTAATGCTATCCCTCCCCGCTCCCCCCACCCCATGACAGGCCCCAGTGTGTGATGTTCCCCTTCCTGTATCCAAGTGTTCTCATTGTTCAATTCCCACCTATGAGTGAGAACATGCGGTGTTTGGTTTTTTGTCCTTGCGATAGTTTGCTGAGAATGATGGTTTCCAGCTTCATCCATGTCCCTACAAAGGACATGAACTCATCCTTTATTGTGGCTGCATAGTATTCCATGGTGTATATGTGCCACATTTTCTTAATCCAGTCTATCATTGATGGACATTTGGGTTGGTTCCAAGTCTTTGCTATTGTGAATAGTGCCACAATAAACATACATGTGTATATGTCTTTATAGCAGCATGATTTATAATCCTTTGGGTATACACCCAGTAATGGGATGGCTGGGTCAAATGGTATTTCTAGTTCTAGATCCTTGAGGAATCACCACACTGTCTTCCATAATGGTTGAACTAATTTACAGGAACAGTGTAAAAGTGTTCCTGTTTCTCCACATCCTCTCCAGCACCTGTTGTTTCCTGACTTTTTAATGATCGCCATTCTAACTGGTGTGAGACGGTATCTCATTGTGGTTTTGATTTGCAGTTCTCTGATGGCCAGTGATGATGAGATACCATCTCACACCAGTTAGAATGGCGATCATTAAAATGTCAGGAAACAACAGGTGCTGGAGAGGATGTGGAGAACTGGAAAATTTTTAAAGTGAGATCAAGATCCTGAAGCATTTATTTGCAAAATTATAACAGGAAATAGAACATGGCTTTGCCAGCACAATCTTGAAGATAAAGCACCATCAGCACAATGGCTACCAAGAAGTAGAAGTGGTCTAGTCAAAGCAAAAGCAGACTGGTCAAGAGGAAAAATCACAGCAACAGTGTTTGGGGAGGCTCAAGGCATTCTTCTTCTTGACTCTGTGGCGGGCCAAAGAATGGTGACATCCACTTATTATGAAAGTGTTCGGGGTCAGGCGTGGTGGCTTACACCTGTAATCCCAGCACTTTGGGAGGCCAGGGTGGGTGGATTACCTGAGGTAGGAGTTCAAGACCAGCCTGGCCAACATGGTGAAACCCCGTGTCTACTAAAAATACAAAAAAATAGCCAGGTGTGGTGGCACGTGGCTGTAATCCCAGCTACTCGGGAGGCTGAAGCAGGAGAATCACTTGAACCTGGGAGGTGGAGGTTGCAGTGAGCCGAGGTCATGCCACTGCACTCCAGCCTGGGGGACAGAGTGAAATTCCATCTCAAAAACAAAACAACAAAACAAAGAAAAAAAAGTGTTTGGAGAGTGTTAAGGCAGAGCTTTAGCAGAGAAACATCCAGGAAAGTTTTACAAAAGAGTCCTTCTCCAACACAACAATGCTCCTGTTCATTCCTCTCATCAAACAAGGGCAATTAGTTGAGAATTTTGATAGAAAATCTTAGGCATCCACCTTGTAGTCCTGACTTGGTGCCTGCTGACTTCTCTTTGTTTCCTAATCTTAAAAATATGTGTAACGGGCACCCATTTTTTCTTCAGGTAATAATGTAAAAAAGACTGCGTCATTATGGTTAAATTCCTAGGACTCTAGGATTCTTTGTTCTTCAGGGATGAAGTAAAAAGCTGGCATCATCACAAAAATGTCTTGAGCATGGTGGAGCTTATGTTGAGAAATAAAGTTTATATCTTTTGTTTTTTATTTTATTTATTTATTTTTTTTGAGACAGAGTCTCGCACTGCCGCCCAGGCCGGAGTGCAGTGGCGCGACCTCGGCTCACTGCAAGCTCTGCCTCCCGGGTTCACGCCATTCTCCTGCCTCAGCCTCCAGAGTAGCTGGGACTACAGGCGCCCGCCACCACGCCCAGCTAATTTTTTGTATTTTTAGTAGAGACGGGTTCACCGTGCTAACCAGGATGGTCTCGATCTCCTGACCTCGTGATCCACCCACCTTGGCCTCCCAGAGAGCTGGGATTATAGGCGTGAGCCACCATGCCCAGTCAATATCTTTTATTTTTATCTTTGAATCTCATTTTTCCAAGATCTTTTTGAAGTATCCTCATATAAATATATTCATTACTTCATACAACCCAAAGGCTAGACCTATCATTATTCCTAATTTATAAATATGAAATTGAGAGAGAAAACAGATATGTACATTGGTTAATATTACACAAACAGATTACTATCAAACAATCCTAAGTTAACACTGAGGTATTAACAATGAGGTATTAACACTTAGTCAGTGAATTAACTGACTGTCAGGAGGCAAGAAGCAGAACATGTTCATACATATCGGTTTTGCAAAATTGAAGTTTGTCAGATATTTTGAACACAGTTCCGTAACTGAAGGACCTTTGAAGACTCTTTGGAAATAATGATCTTGTTGTTTCATATGACAGTGAGGTTGCTTCTACAAATTCTGTTCTAGTCAAATAAAAATTGAAGAAGATCGTATGGAAAATTTCTTTTTTTGATGGAAAATTTTCAGAAACAAAAAGGGTTTGTTTTGTCATTTCATATGTACCAATCATGTTCACTATGAGATTAAAATGTGTACTTTTTTCCAGAGCTATGAAACTGAAGACATACTATATTTCTTCTAGGCCACAACATATAGTAATGACAAAATGTTTTTTATAAAATTTAGATTTTATTTTTTTCTTTTAGTTTGTTGTTCTTTAATGTTTGGTTTCAAAACTGAAAATATTGTCTCGATTTTAAGTTTGAAAGTACTCAAGAGCAAACTTGTGGATACACATCTTTGTATCCCCAGTGTCTAGACCTGGATTATTACATTTGCTCAGTATTTGTTAAATATGTGAAAGCACCAAGTAATGGGCAAAATAAGGTCAATCTTAACTAGCCACATGTCTATAAGAATTTTTTTAAATTACCCACATTTGTGGCTCACAGGGATGTTGATCTTCCAGTTGGTAAATCAAATATTAGGGTGTTTTCATGAATGGTATTGAACCTAAGTGTAGTCCATACACTTTACAGAAAGCCTTTGTTACCTCTGAAACCAATAGTATTTATTAAAGAAATTGATGTTAAAATAACTAACCATGGTTTACATCCTCTATATTTCAATCTCTCCCTTTCTCTTGCAAAAAGAGTCAAATTCAGACAGTCTTTAAGTTCTTCATAATTCCTTATTATGAAAATCAGAAGTTAGTTTGTATGCACATAATAAAAATATAAATCTACTATAGACATTAAACATACTAAAAAAGGAAAGATTTCCACCTTTCTTATGTCTTCCACCTAAATATATCTCTTAGTCATAATGTTAAGACTGTAGCTATGAATCATTAACACATCAGAAAAATATTATATCAGATATACTATTTTATCTTTAAATTTAATTCTTTCATAAAACTCACATTCCATGTATCACCATTCCTTTGCAACAAATAACAGTTCAGTTGAGATTCTCTGCCTTTCTCTGTTGAGGTGAAAATGTTTTGAAACCCAGATATAAAATCAGGATAAAGTGAAAAATGTTCCATTTATTGGCAAAAGTTTAGACACATAGATCAATGGAACAAAACAGAAAGCCTAGAGATAAACCCAAACAAGCATAATCAATTTATTTCTGACAAAGATTTAAAAGAAATTTAATATAGAAAAGAAATCTTTCAACGAATGGTTCTTGAACAACTGGACATCTATATGCAAAAAAATGAAACTCAACACATATTTTATGCCTTATACAATAACGAACAGAAAATGGATCATAGGCCTACATGAAAAACACAAAAACTATAAAACTTATTTGAGAAAACAGAAGAAACGTTATTCAACAATGAGTTTGGTGATGACTTTTTCAATACAAAACCAAATACATCATTCGTAAATGAATATTAATAAATTTGACTTTAGAAAAATTAAAAACTATTACTTTGCGAAAGAGACTGTTAAGACAAAAAAAGGACGTTAAAGGTTAGGAGAAATCCTTGCAAACCACATATCTGATGAAGGACTTGTATTGGGAATACATTTAAAGAAACCATTTAAAACTCAAAATTAAGAAAATGAACAGCCCAATTAAAAATAGACAAAATAAATTAACAGACACCTCATTAAAGAAGACATATTTAGGGAAAATAAGCATATGAGCATATTAACATATGATCTACATCATAGAGCTTCTTTTGTTTTTGTTATTATATAAGGTATATGTGTTGAGGTTCACTTTTTGCATATAGATATCAATTGTTCAAGAAACATTTGTTGAAAAGATTTCTTTTTTCCATTACATTTCTTTTAAATCTTTGTCAAACATCAACTGATGATGCTTGTTTGGGCTTTCTGTTTTGTTCCATTATAAGAAATATTCCAGATAAAAAACCTACTTACTCTATGATTCCATTTATTTGAAATCCTGTAAAAGGCAAAACTGTGATGATGGGAATACAGTGCAGTGATCACCAGGGGGTTGAAGCAAGGAGCGTATTTGACTAGAGGAAGAACGGGATATTTTAGGTCAGTGGAGCTGATGTGGCACTGGAGTATATGGCACTGTGGTGGTGGAAAGCCCAGGAAATCTATGACTGAAAGCTCAGAAAAGCTATGACTGTCACAATCCACTGAACGTCGCAGCATTGATAAAGACAGCTTTAATATTTGCAAATTTAAATTACCAACTGAGAAGTCAGGGAGTCCCAGGATAAAATACAGGCCATAACAACAGAGCTAATTATACTACAACTGTGGGGCAGAGTCCTACCAAAGCAGTCGGAGCAAAAAGGGACTGATGAAACTAACTTTGGAAAATAGTTTTCTAATCAAAACTTTAAGGTGAAAACAAAAGGCACAGTCCATAAACACCACAGTCTAGTTGGTAAAGTCACTTCTCACAGGGGCACAGGTATACATTCTAATGTATAAATTCTGTGTGTATACCAGGGCTCAACAAAGGAGTAGATACACAGCATATGGACCTTCCCCACTCTCTGAAAGCAGAACAGTGGAGCCATTATAGAGCTTGCTTCCTTTATTTCCTGTCATTTATGAATCATTGTCTTTTATTGAGTAATGTCCAACATCTTGAAAAAATAGAGAATAGGAAAATAATAGAGAAATCAGTGAAATGGAGTTGGTTTTTCAAAGAGATCACCAAATTGCCAAGCCATTAGCGAGACTGACTAAGAAAAAGAGAAGACTCAAATAAGTAAAATCAGAAATGAAAGTGTGGAAATTATACCAATCATATAGATAGGTTAAATATTTTAATTTCTCTCTTTCTTGTAATTTAAATGTCTTTTACCATTAGTGACTTAAAGCATTTTACAGTATATATTATATATTTATATATTATATATATTTCATATTTTATATATTTTATATGTGTAAAATATACATGGACCCTCTTTTCTTCAATTGCCCGTGTAATAATATGTAAGGTCTTTTGTACATTAAAGAAATTTATCTCATAAATGCATTTATGTTGCAAATCCTCCAGTTCATCATTTGGTGATAATTTTGTCTTTATGGTGAATTTTTGTGAAGTCACATCTGTCACTTTTATGTCTTCTGCTTTTGGTAGAAAGCTTTTTCTGCATAGAAAGACCTTCTCTATTGTAACTTTATGAACAATACGCGTTTAAATTTTCTTAGTGCTCATATATTTAATCAATCTAAAATAGATATTGTGCATTTCAATCAGAAATGTATATTATTTTGAGCTAGGTATACTATTAGCATATTTCATTCTCAATGAGTAGTCAACAATCTCATTCATTTAAAAAATACATCGCATCCTTATTGCTAAAACAAATTTCACTAACCATATGTGTTTGATGACTCTGTTCTTTTTCTGCAAGGCTATCTTTCTTATATTGGTGTTTTATTTATTTTTGTTTTCTGTGTATTCTTTTAGACCACTCTTTATTTTTAAAAAATTACCCTCATAATCTAGAGAAAGGGGGTAAATAAGACAATCAGTTTTGGCAATACATATATATTTTTGTACTTAAGTGCAGCAAATGAACTGTGGAATCATGGAATAGATTCAGCAACCAGCATGCTATGTGTAAAAGGTACTTACGGTTTGATCAGGTAAATTAAAAAGTTAAAGTTGACTTAGCTGAAAACAAGTTAACATATGAAATTATATCAATAGAAATATAGTAGGCAGGATCATGGAGATTGGTCTGCTAGCTTTATGCAGTTTATATCAAAAGTTTAAATTTATATCCATGCTGAGTGCTCACATTTATGAGGGCTACTGTGTAGTCATCTGACAAATTGTCAAATATTAAATTAATATTAATATAATATAATTAATTATAATATAATATATTATATTAATATGTAATATAATATATTATATTATGTTAATATGTAATATAATATAGTATATTATGTTAATATGAAATATAATATAGTATATTATGTTAATATGAAATATAATATATAATAACAATATCAATATAATTATAATACAATTTAATAATATTAATATAATATCATTATAGCAATTATACAATGATTATAATATAATTATCAATGTATTAATTATTACTATATTATTAATAATATTATTAATATGTCAATTATTACTATATTGTTAATATAATTATTATATAATATAATATAATTATATCACTATTATTATATTATAGTATTAATATAATAGTGTATAACATTAATATAATATAGTATTAATATAATAGCGTATAACATTAATATAATATAGTATTAATATAATAGCGTATAACATTAATATAATATAGTATTAATATAATAGTGTATATTAATATAATATAGTATTAATATATAATATTAATATAATATATCAATATAATAGTATATAATATAATATAATATATCAATATAATAGTATATAATATAATATAATATATCAATATAATAGTATATAATATAATATAATATATCAATATAATAGTATATAATATTAATATAATATAATATCAATATAATAGTATATAATATTAATATATTAATATAATAGTATATAATATTAATGTAATATAATATTAACATAATGTATATAATAATATAATAGTATATAATACTAATATAATATAATATTACTATTATAGTATATTCTAACTTACATTACTATATAATACAATTAATTGTGATATAATTAATATTACTAAAACCGGACAATGTGTCATATGGATAAGTCTAAAAAACCAATTGTGATTTGTGGTTTGTATGGGTGGTGGGAAAATAGCTTTGTATGCTAATGGAAAAGAAAATTTATATTCATTCCATGTGAATTACTTTGGTCCACTGCTCATTTGAAAAATATTTCCATTCAAGAGGCACTGCGTTCCCTTAGCTCCTGTTTGGTTGCCAAGAGATTAAGTTTGTCCTCTAGTGACTGATTTATTTCCACTCTGTGGAATGGCTCACATTAACAGGGAGATAAAGAGTGAAAAACTAAAATTTCATTTATAAGAGTTTAATTTATTTTTACTAACAGATTGAACCGAAACTCTATAATACTAGAAATTAAGCCTGAGGGTTGGCGCTAGGTTAATAATGTCCTTTGTTTTCCTTCCCTTAGATTTCTCTTTTGCTACAATTATTTCATCACCACAGTTAATCCCAGCAAGTCCCCATTAATTCGATGCCAAACAGAACAGTATTCTAAACCAGCAACTCCGTAGTTACTTTCTATGGCTCAACTTTCAGAGTTTTTGTGAAGAATGGGATTTAGAAGCTTATTATTGACCAAAAATACGTAAAGCAGACTTGAAAGTTGTTTTCTGGGATATGGCTGCACTCTTAAATCACTCACAAATTGAGAAAGAATAACTGAAGCCAATAGAGGCAATGGTAGAATGCAGATATTTTCCTCTGACTGTTCTATGTTAGAAACAAAGAGAAGAGGTAGAAGAAATATATAAGGAACAGTTATAGACGCTATAGAAACTGGAATGAAAGCGTTAATCATTAATCCCACGACTTACCTGGAAGTTTGGATTCTATATGTCTTTGTGATTTCAGGTCTTGAGCCATTTTTTGGGAAACAAGAGTTCAGCTTATTTATCACAATAAATGACTGTTGTTTTTTTTTTCCCTCTGCTATTATATAGAAATTAACTTAAAATTTCCTAAACTAACATGACTCCAACAAGAGAAACTAGAGATAGGGGGTAGAAATTATTTTAAAAAACAAGAGAGTTTTAACAATAAGATTTGTCATTACAAAGTAATAATAATTGATTTCCACGCCTTCATTTATTCTCCAGGGTCCTTTATAAAAGGATATTAAATTTCAAACAAGAGCCAGACTATAAATAGCACTGAGAAAGATAACGCATTTAATTAAATATGTGTTTAGTGAATGACTGATTTCAGTTAATTTCTAAGAATATGATTTGACAATGTGACTGTTTTCACAGTTTACGGTGTTCAAAAAGAAAAGGAATACTGCAGATTATGAGAGAAGAAACTAGAGTTTTACATAAACTTTTTTTTAGGATTGAATCAAACTAAATTAGCACTTTTAATTAATTTTGTATGTTAAAAGTTGTAGATCACTATGCTAACATATCAACCAAGAAAATAATACGCTTGGGAAAGTTTCTTGAAGTGGAATAAGGTATTATGCAAAATGAAGATGAATGAGATTTGGTTATCAAAATGCTAACCATCAACACCTACCTGCCAATCAAAATGTATTGGTAACTTATTTTAAATTTCAGATAAAAAATTAAAGATATTCTAATGAATCCAAAATAAATATAAAAAGATAAATAGTATATCCAGAGAAATTAATTATATAAATGAATTTTCTGTCTCAGATTATACATCAAAGATATGGTCATGTCTGTTTTACTTACTTTGTATAATATTATGTCACATATGTAAATTGATAGCTCTATTAAAACTGTAAAAAATATTAGTGAAGTGTATTTCCCAATTCATACTTTGTGTGCAACTTTTTTTTCATTTATTGGACAAGTCATTTAATTTGACAGCTCTAATTTTATGGAATTGTTCTTTCAAGACATATACTTGAAGTTGCTCTTTATATCAATCTTGTACGACCTTCTTCATATTTTTCTCATCTCACAATCTAGACATACCCTCATAAAATAATATACATATTTTATTGTTAGTATTGCTGCTGTCATTGCCAATATGCAGAAAAAGTTAGGATGTAGTCTCTGGAGGCATTCTTTCCTTAAGCAAACATTTCAAGGGTAAATTTTGTATCTTAAACGAACATAGTCCCAGAACATTGACAAATGCCCTAAATAAGCACGTATCATTTCATATTTTCTTTCTTTTTTCTTTTTTTTTTGAGACGGAGTCTCGGTCGTCTCCCAGGCTGGAGTGCAGTGAAGCATTCTCGGCTCACTGCAAGCTCCGCCTCCTGGGTTCACGCCATTCTCCTGCCTCAGCCTCCCAAGTAGCTGGGACTACAGGCGCCCGCCACCATGTCCGGCTAATTTTTTGTATTTTTAGTAGAGACGGGGTTTCACCGTGTTAGCCAGGATGGTCTCGATCTCCTGACCTCGTGATCCGCCCGCCTCAGCCTCCCAAAATGCTGAGATTACAGGCGTGAGCCACCGTGCCCGGCCTCATGTCTTCTTATTCTATGAAGTTGCTTATATGAACCTATATGTGTATGAAAAACAGTAGCTTTTTCTGTGTAAGGAGGAATGCAGAATAATTATGTTAGTCTTGTGGCACCAGTGTTAATATAATATGACCAACTGCTTTTTCAATAAAATTAGAAAACTGCTTCTTGGCAATCCAATAATATAGCAAAAAATGTCATTTCTCACTTCATACATGCTCTGTCAAGTTTGTGTACTCAGATCAATCTGAGATTATAGTTTCCAGTTTTTCTTTTTGTATTTTATCTAGTGTTCCCTCCTTTGTGTGTTCAGTTTGTGTAAAATTCTAAATAGTTCTTTTAAGTCTCATATTCTCCCTGAAATTGGGGACTTTAGACAACATTAATTTTCCTTTGTTTCTGAGTCACTCTTATATTCAGCTGCATGCACTTTTTGTTGGATATTTTGTGTCTCTTCTTCATTTTTCACAAATGTTGACCACAAAGAAACAAGATCATTCAAATATAGAACTAAAATGATAATTAATTTTATTTTCTAGTAAGTTTTACATCAAAGCAGGAGATATACTTATAAGGGACCCAACAAATCAATGTATTTTTCTCATATATGTGTGTGTGTACATATATATATACACATACATATGTATATATGTATATATGGGTGTGTATATATATGTGTGTGTGTGTGTGTATATATATATATATATATATATATATATTTTAACACTGCTTTTCCTCTTGGGCCAATCATGTTGAATTCATCCTAGAACATAGCCTACTGCTTTGCCCTTTTAAAACAATTTCCTGTAAGTATTTTCCTGGCTGATGTAGTTTCAGGACTCTGTCCTATTGTTTTAAATTTTATTTATAGTCAAGAACAGGTTTTATTATCACTAAAGTGTCCTTTGTATTCTCTCAAAAAATGCAATGCATATCTGAGGAGGTGGACGGGTATTAAAATAGGAGATGGAAATTATAATATAGTGAAGGGAGAACAGCAACATAATGTAGTAGATTCTAACCTAGATGAAGTAAAAACAAAAAATAAAGTAAAATAGATACAGTAGGACAAAATTGCTTGTAGCACAGAATAATTAGATAAAATATACAAATTGTCTGTATAATGCATCAGCAAGGTGCTGATGCAATGGAGAACCAATGGGGTTTATATTGCAAAAAGGAAGGGCCTCCAAGAGGCGGGCTAACTTCTGGAACCACTTTTCCTTAGGGTGCTTACTGACTGCAAAAAGCAGGAGACTGGGAGAATGTGCACTTTGCCTAGAGGACTGCTGCTGGGGCACTGGATGACCTCGTGGCTGAAGAGACACATTTGAAGACTTGAAGCAATCTAATCATATGTAGTTGGTTTTGTCTTTAAGACATCTGCCAAATTCTGAAATTACATAGGGCTTAAGTATAAAATATATAAGCTAGACATCTCTTTACAACCAGAGCTGAGATCAGGAAACGATTAGTTAAGAGCCGATTGGATGTATTAATACATGCTGCTAGAATAGTAGTGAAGGACTGAGCTTTATTAAACTTGTAATTAGCCACTACTCTACTTACCTAGCAAAGGGAGGTGAAGCACACTCTGCTGAAGTAAAACTTAATCTGTAGCTTTAGGCATATTATACGCAATGTCCAATATGCAATAAAAAATCAGTAGGTATTCCAAGAGGGAAGACCACAGACAACAGAAGCAAAGCTGCATGTGATCAGATAATGGAATTAGCAGACGAGAATTATAATTAAGGATGATTAAGAAAACAGAGGACAAAAGGGGAAAAAGGAGTAGAAAGATGTCAAAAATTAACTAGAGAACTGTAATCCATGAAAATTAATTAAATGGAAGTTCTAGAACTGAAAAGGATGACATCTAAAAAGAAAACGGAGATGTTTTGGAAAAATCTCTGACGATTTTCCATTAAAAAATGCCGGTTTTATTAAACAGACATACTAGATTTGATTTCATCCACTTCTTCTACTAGCTAGATAAACTTAATTTCACCTACTTGGGCATTAGATTCTTTATTTTTACCATTTGCACAATAATACCTATCCCTTAGAGTGGTTTTACTCAAATGAAATAATATATAACAAGCACCTAGAGTAAAACCTGCCACAAATAAACCTAAAAGATGGAAGTTTTTATTCTAATATTAACCTAAAATAATATTAGTTTAAAATAACATTCGCTGATTTTTATAGGAAATAAGTACATCAAGGTTTTTTACAAAAAGAAAAGGAAGGATTATATGAAGGCTGACAGTGTCACATGATGTTTGTAGAACCGAAAAATGAATTAAAGATGGACGAAATAGCAAGTCAAAAGGGCAACCCTGGAAGAAAAGTGCAGCGAGGTAGAGAGTGAAAACAGAAGACAAATTTGAAGCAATGTCTGTTTTGTAGATCTTGTTTTCTGGAAACTTCATTCTCACTTAAGCAATGATGGTTTCTCTCTCATTATCCTGATTAGAGCAAGGAGAATAATTCATGAGATTCTGCAATTTAAGCTGGACACACACACACACACACACACACACACACACACACACACACACACACACAGGCTTGCTAGACTTACACATATTCTGCTAGCTGCTGAGGATAGATATTTCTAAGTGAAAAATGCTTCATAAATAGTAAGATGTAACTGTGCTAATGGCCATGTGACAGGGTATAAATCTACAGCTAGGATCTATTCACAGATGTCCACTTAAGGTTGATTAGTTCTGGCTAGTGTTTCTTTTACTTGTCAGCAAGAGGAAATTTTATTTCAGACAGTAGGGAAAATTCAGAGACTCAGAGACACACGTAAATAAATAATCTTAGGGAGATTTTATATATATGTTTTTTGATAAATTACCATCTCCCTAAAGCCAAAGGGAATCCAACTGCCACAGATCCCTTACTGTTGCTGTACCTTGATAAAAGCCCTAGAATTTAAGATTGGAAACTTTTGCTTTTATTTTTATTTTAAAGTGATACATCCTCAACTGGTAAGTCAATTTTTACTTAATTTGTATGGAAATGTTATTTTCTACTTAGTCAACATAGTTTCTAGCTTCAAGAAACTAGAAAACATTATATTTTTATTTTTTTAATCTATGACAGCATAGATATTGCAAAATATATTTTTCAGAGATGGCTGCACCAATACATATTCCAACCCCATTTCTCTATTGAGAGGGGCATCTATGTTTCTTCCCAATGAAACTGAATGAACTTGTGTAACTGCTTTGACCAACAGAATCCAGAGAAAAGGACAGTGCATGACTTTTGAGGCTAGATCATGAAAGGCAACAAGCCTACTACTGGCTAGAATCTTTCTCTTGGCTCATGTGCCTTTTGGAGCCATGAGTCATCAGGTTAGAAACTCAGCTATTCTGACGCTGCCATACTTAGAAGACCATATAGGGAAACCACATACAGATGGAGCTGCCTGAGGAATCCGAGCTATTTGAGTCTTTCCAGCCCACGCATTCAAATAGGAGTGAAAAAGCCTTTGAAATGAGAGTTCATGAGAGTTCCTCAACCTGAATGGTCCTTATGAGCCATGCTGTGTTCCTAACCCTTAGAAAGTCTGAGAGATAATAAATGATTGTTTTAAGGTATTAACACAGAAAAAGTAACTAGGATCTACGTCTTAATAGTTCAAACTTTTAATACACCTAATTGGTGTTAAATAGGATCACACTGCTAAAATTGTGGGGTCACCATAACTATGGTGTGAAGTTGGAGTGTAAATTATTTGGTTAGTCATTTTATAAACCTTCTTTATTTTCATTTTGTCACTGTCTCCATAGTGCTTTGAAGTTAGGTAGTTTCAAATTGAGTCTTGATTTTACCACTTATTAGTATTCTAATTTTCAGTGTTAACTCCCCTCTTGCTGTTTCCTCATTTATAATAATAAAGGTGATATGACCATTGCTAAATGAGATCACATATTTGAAAGCTTGTTATACAATGTTTCAAATGTAGAAGGCACATATTCACATATATGTTGCTCTTTGTGGAGCACGTATAAGGGTCATTTGGAAGTGAGGATAACCTGGATTTGAAAATTCAATTCCTCATGTATCTATTTAAAATTTTGAGAGTTACTTAAGCTTCTTGATACCAGGGAATTGCTAATGACAAACTAAAATTCCTGCTGAGAATAACTGAAAAAGTTACATAAAACCACAAATTATGCATATGAAGTTATCAGAGAACTGCTGGGAAACGGCAAATTAAAGGGACAAAATGCTGGAGAAGGCATTTCCGTGAAGCGAGGTTAGCCAGCATTCTGCAGTCACTTTTATTTTTTTTTTAAACCAGACCACAAGTAGGGGGCTGAGATTCCCATGATTTGGACAAACATGTGAAACAGAAGGTGAAAAAAGAAGCAGGGCTTTTGGTTGTTACATAAACGAGAAAGAAAACAATAATTATAACAATGACACATTAAGAGACCAGAATTCTACTACGAAGAGTCATTAATTGAAGTTCTGGCCTGTCAGATTGCCCCTCAAAATATTTGTCAAATTCACAAATTATTTGGGACATGAAGCTAAGAGACAAAACAAAAGTTATCTGAATAACAGCACTGAAGACTTAGGGTCCAGATCCCTGCAGTGGGTAACACCCTACTGATTGCACCAGTCTCCCAGTTGGACCACTTTTCCTGTTAGCTAAGTCCTAAGACTGGGGATTAATTAGAGCTAGACTAAGGCTTAGCAGATGTGCAACCTTACCTCAGGTTGGGTCAATACATGATTAAAAGAAAGCAATCTGTCTCTTACTCTATCTGCCTAGGAAAGGAAAGTGAAAGCTAACAAAACAAAAAAAGAGAAGTAAATACATTCATAAATAAAAATGGTAGTTTTTAACATAATTTTTCAGTAACTCATAGAACAAGCAAACCAAAAAATAAAAAAATAATTTGAATATTTGAATTGTAATATTAAGAAATTCAGCTTAACAAGAATACCCAGTAACTGCAATTATACATGAAAACAATTTCAAAACATATGCATGAAAAGAATGTGAAAACATATTCTATAAGAGCCAGAGAGCAAACTTCAACCAATTTCAAATAATTGGACTCATGCAGAGTATATTCTCTCGCCACAGATGAATTTTTGAATTCAATAACACACACACACAAAAATACAAAATGTCCAAATGTTAATTAAAGGAAACACTTCAAAATAACTCACAAACATAATTTTTATAAGTTTTAAAAAATATTTAACTGAATGTAATAAAAAAGACATAATATGCAAAATGCAGCTAGAACAGTGCTTAGGTGAAAATCATGCCCTTGAATGCAGGTAGATAGGTAAATAACTAGATACATAGATGCCTAAAGGTCACTGACTTAAGCACCCACCTCCAGAAGCCATACAAAATGATTATATTACAGCCAGAATAAAGTGAAAGAACAAAAGAATGTATAGCAGAAATCAATGAAATAGAAAGCAGATACAAAAAAGAAAAAATAAGCATAATAGACAAAATTTTCTTCTCATAAAATGAATAAAATTTATAATCTAAAAAATTTAATAAGGGAAAGAGAGCAAGAGAACAAGAGAAACTAAATACAAATAACAGTATCAGAAAAGAAAAGAGGGCATCACTACAGTCCCCATAGTTATTAAGAAGGAAAGAAGATAATAGAAGCAATTTTATTCAATTAGATTTGAAATCATAGGTACAATAAGCATATTCCTTGGAAATGAAAAATGTAAAACTGACAGGAAATCTGGATACCCTTTATCTAGTCAAGAAATTAAATTTATGTCAGATTCTTTCACGAAATAAATGAATAAATGATCTCTGCCTATATGCTTCATCAATGACTTCTGTAAACTTAGAAAAGATTTAATACTAATCTTACAAAATTTTCTCCAGGGAATTATAAGATGGAAGGCACTTTATAATTTCTTTCATGAGGCCCACAGGATTATGATACTGATACCTGTTGATAGTGATACCTGACAAGGCTTTGATGGAATAAATGTCAAGGAACTCTCTCCCATAAACATATATGTAAAATTTAAACAGAATTAGTAAATGGAATCTAGCAATATGTAAAATAGGAAAATCTAAAATGTGGAAATCTGACCAACTGTGACAGATTTCAGGACTGCAAGAAGTTCTTTAATTAATGGAATAAACAGAAAAATGTATGTTATCCTCTCAATAAAACCAGCAAATGCACCTGAAAACAACACATCACAATTTATAGCTATTTTCAAAATATGCATAAGTAGAAATGGATATTCTTAATCTGATAAATATTATCTAAAAACAAGCAACAAAGCAACTTATACTTACTGATAAAATATTGAATGCTTTCCACCTGAAAAGAAGAATGAGAGAAAAAAATCCGCTATTACAGTTTCTATTGAAATTGGGTCAAAGCTCTACACATAATAGAAAGACAGGATTTAAAAAAATAAAAGTATTAAAAGGAAGAAATTATAATATTGTTACTTCCTGTTTTAATACAGAATATTCAAAAATCTGGAAATAAATATATTAAATTGAATACATAAGTTTAATAAGTCCACTGAAAAAATGGACAAAATAGGTCATATTAGTAAAAAATAATTAAATACTGTAATTTAAAAGGAAACCACTGAAAATAACATCAGAAAACATCAAATACCAAGAAAACATTTACTAAAATTGTTTAAGTGACTCCAAAAAGTGCCTCACGGTTCCAAGACAAATTGTTGATGATATCAATAAATGGAAGGTATACCATGTTCAAGGTTTAAATTACTCAATTTGTAAATATTTTATATCTTCATAAATCCATTTATAGAGTTAATATATTCCCAATAAATATTCCAATAAGCAGTTTTGTTGAAATTGAAAACTGATTCTACAATATTTAAACAGATAAAATTTGGAAAGCATATACTACCGGATATCAAGGCTTGCTATAATGCCATAACAAGTAAAACAACTTGATGTGGGCGAAAGTAAAGATGAATCAATCAATGGAAGAAAAATGGGTTCCTGAAACACTTAAACACATATAGTTATTTGATTTACCTAAATGTCACTGAAATACAGGGAATGAAACAATAGTCTTCCAGTAAAAGACGTTAGGTTTATTTGATACATATAGAGAAAAACACATTAAAAAGTACCTCACAAAGACAGAAGCAGCTCCAGACAGAGTTTTGTCCTAAATGTGAAGGGTAAACTATAAAACTGCTTAGTGATAACACGATAGATTATCTTCATGATCTTGGGGCAAACAAAGATTTGTTGAAGGAAATGAAAGCCCACTAAGCAGACATGACAGTTTTTATAACTTCGGCTTCCTTAAAATTAAGAACTTTTGTTTTCAAATAATTTTCATATATCAAACAATAGACTTGCATTCAAAATGTATGAAGAATTCCTTCAGATCCATAAGAAAAGAGGGAAAACCCTCTCAAATAAATGGAAAATAATTGGTCAGGCGTGGTGTCTCACGCCTGTAATCCCAGCACTTTGGGAGGCTGAGGCGGGTGCATCGCCTGAGGTCAGGAGTTTGAGACCAGCCTGGCCAACATGATGAAAGCCGTCTCTACTAAAAATACAAAAACTAGCTGGGTATGGTGGTGCATGCCTGTAATCCCAGCTACTCGGGAGGCTGAGGCAGGAGAATTCCTTGAACCCAGGAGGCAGAGGTTACAGTGAGCCAAGACTGTGCCATGGCACTCCAGCCCGGGTGATAGAGTGAGACTCTGTCTCAAAAAAAAAAAAAACAAAAAAAAAAGGAAAGAAAGAAAACGGAGAAAAATGGAAAATAGTCTTGAATAGGCAGTTGACTAAAGATGATGAGGAAATACTCAAGAATCCTATGAGAAAACACCCAATAATCCTATGAGAAAACACTCAATAATCCTATGAGAAAATGCTTGCCTCATTTGTCATCGATAATTTTCAAATGAAAACCAAAATGAGATACCCATTTATACCTAATGGAATAGACTAAAAATAAATGCAAAATAAATTGACACTAAATAATGAGCGTCTAATACTCTCAAATATTCTGAAGTACAAATTTGGGCAGGAAAAAAATCGCAGTATTCACTAAACTGAACAAAAGCATACTCTATGACTCAACAGTTTCACTTACTGGAATCTACCCAACAGACATGCGGCCATAAGTCATCAAAAGCCATGTACATGAATGTTTGTATTGGCTTCCTTATTTACAACGAATATCTGGAATTGATTAAAATGTGTATCAACACTAAAATGGAAAAATACTTTTAATATATTAATAAAATGGAATCCCATACATCAATGAAGAAGAAAACTAATACTACTGCTATTTGGTCGTAATACTGAGTATGTGCTTTATATAAAGTATGTGAAATTTAAGCAGGCAAAACTATTCTATTTTATATATATATATATATACACACTATTCTATATAATGTGAGGGCTCAGAATATTATTTACTTTTGTGTGTAAGTTAATAACTGATATCCATAAGAGAAGCTTCTGGGGTATTGATTATGTCCTATATGGTTACATGGCTTTATTTACCTTGTAAAAGTTCACGAAACTCTAGATTTATGATATATGCAACTTATTGTATGCATGTTATGCATCAATTTAAACAATTGAAAAATCTCCCCAGCTTGCACATATTAGCATAATTTTGGTAGGAATACCTACAGGGGCCAGCGATGTAACAAGGACCATCTAAATTAGAAATGAGGCAACCTATATGTAGCTCCAACTAAATGCTATCATTCAGAATTGCAAATCTAGTGTTGTCATATTAAGAAAGCTAGACATTTTAGATTTTTTGTGAAATTTTCTCGTTTTAAGTGTTTCTGTTTTATCCCCACTCCCAAACAGTATGTTAACATAAAAAACACAAAACGTGTTTTATCTAGGAGCAAACGTTTTGTGCTCATTGAAATTTTGGTATGATTATTACAATCTTGATAACAGATGTCTTTCCTCTGTAATTTTCTTAAACAGAGAAATGTAGACCTGTCCTTCGGTTATTGTTAGGGCAACCTCAGTGCTGCATTAGTATTGTTTTCTATTGTGGTATCTTTCCTTTCTGCTACCTCAGCTTTCACAAGTCATTTTTATTCTTTTTTGCCAGCTCAGCTGACCATCGTGAATGTTATTCTGTACTGAATCATCAGTATAGAATGGTTGCAATTCAATTAGCTGTCAGGGTATATAACCTCAAATCTACTCCTGGTCAATATTTATGAAATGCTCAGCTGAGAGGCACAATATTTATGGAAAAGTTTCTGAAAGGTAAGCAGTGCACTCATTCTCTGAATGCTCTTAATAGCTACCCATAAATTAATCCATAGTACAAGTGTACCACCCACCTAGACCACAGAATTTTGCCACCTCCTAATACAACAGAATTTACAGAATTGCCTTTTGGCCATATGCCATAAGCATACAATGAGAGATAGAGTAAGAAACCTCCCTAACACATTTGTTGCATTTATGCTACATAACTGTTTTTCCAATGATGAATCACCATAGAAATATCTCTTGAACCCAAGCATCAAAAAAAAAAGCTACTCATGGCAATCGGATTACTTTTGTTTCATGGGCCCTCTGACTCATGTGCCTCCCTGCTTCTCGAAAGAAGGGTACCTGGAATTACATTCATATGCAGGAAACTAGAAAATCAATATGGAATATGGAGATTTTCGCTGAAAAATTAATTTTACTCAAATATTTAGAGAAACATTTTGAATTTTTATACTCTCCAAATGCTTTGCCACACATGCATATAAATAAACTAATCATAAGCCATTTTCTCCATTTTGATTGGTAAATATTTTTTATTTTTAGTTTGTTTTGTAGATATCTTAAAAGTATAAGTTTGAAGCATAAGCTTTCATGACGCCAGTATAAGTGCACAAGACATTTGAGAATGTAAAGATAAGAAATAATTAAGACTATGAAAGGTATGGAATTGCTCCTGATGTAACTCTTAAAGACTTTGACAACAAGGAATGCAAAAGCATTATCAAAGTATACCAAGATATTTGATAGAAAACATATTCAAATGTTTACCTTAATTGTGTATTTATTGAAATGAAAATAAATTCCAGTTCCAATTTTGCTAAAAACCCTGAAGTATGACAACCTAAATATGTCACCTTCATGTCATTCTTCAAGACTAATTATTTAGCATGTTTTTTGCCTTCTTTAGCAAAGAAATACTGAGCAAGTATATTTATTCTAATATTAGAGCCTGACTTACAAAATTGTCATTTTATCATATATGATATCAAGGTTGAAATTGCACTTAGTTACTACAAAACAAAATGGTGAATGTTTGCAATGCACATAAAAGATAACCAAATTGAAGCACATATGAGAGTTAATAAAGACAAGAGGATGCTTAAAGTTTCAAGAAGCCAAGAGCAGGATAGCTACAAGAAATTGGAATCATATTGGAATCAAACATTGCATTAACAATACTGACTGCAAAAGGATCAATATCTCAGATTTCTAAGGGCACATGATTATGAAAACACAATTTCAGACCAAAGAAAAATAGCCAAAATATATATTGCTATATTATTCAAAGGTTAACCTGTTTTCCAAACTTTAAAAATATTCTCAGGAATATATTTCCTCAAAACAATAAAGAGATCCAAAATAATAGTAATATTAGATATAGACCCCGACAATTTCTTTCTAGAGGGGAAGAAAAACAAGCATCAAGTTGACAGTTGAGTAGCAAGGTGAGCATGCATGCAATCAATTGAAATGAGAAAAGGTCAGGAACCCCTAGAAAAAACATAGACTTATGTATGTTTTTTCTATTAGATAGATACTATTAGTAATCAAATGGTGTCATAGCTTAAGACAAAAAGAAAATTAGAATAACAATTGAAAACTCCAGAAAAATAAAATTTTACTTTAAATAATCCTTCAATTATACATCAAACATACTATGGTACAATTTTGGATTGATGAATGCCAGTTTAAAAAGTTCCGTCTGACTCATTAATCTGGAATAACAGATTAAGTATATTTTAGCTACATCCTCTTTTCTGCTCTTTTAATTTCACCTTTTAGGATAAATTAATATTTACAAAATTACAATAGTGTAAATGTTATTCGGTAGTTTTCCCTTTAGAATAAACTTATAGAAAAAAGAGAGAAAATTGAATTGCAGTTACTGATGATAATGTAAACATTATACAATTTTTCAATGTTGTTGAAACAGTATTACAAACAGTAGCTGAGAAGTGAAGAGGAGATTGCAGAGGAAGGAAAACAGTAGACATATACATTCCATTGTCATGCTTAATAGAAAATTAAAATATAATTTCTAATACTTACAGAAAGAGAAATAATTATAAAATATCTCACATAGATTAAACAATTTCAGAACACATAAAATTTGAGAACAGTGAATGAAGAATTGGAAATAGTTTTCATGAGTTAAATTCCTGGTCACTGAATGATAAATAAATATTATCTGTAATTACAAAATGGGCATAGATGTACGCTATGTAAATTTCATCAATAGGTTTAAAATAATAGTTTTTAAAAGTGGTTACTTTTAAAGGGTCATGATGGAGAATTGTATTGGGATACCATTTTTATTTTTATTTTTGTACCCTTCAGTTCTATTTTATTATTTTTTAATCATTCAAATATGTTACTCAATATCAAATTCTTTTTATAAAACATGATAATTTGGCTTTGCATCCATTTTTTTCTGGCTAAAAAGGAGACTTATTAATAATACAATAAGCATAAAATAGGAAAATTTATGTTATTTCCTACAAGATAGGTTATAAAAACATCTTGTTAGATAATGTTACCACAATAAAAGAAAAGCTGGTGAAACTTCAGGATATAGATATGTTAAATGTAATAAACAAAAATTTGAAAATTTTAAAATGCATATATTATTTTACTGAATGCTGCTATTGGAATGTTTTTTAATGTATTCCAAAGATATATTTAAAAAACTGGTTATTAAAGAAAATAATAGATTTCAGTTTATGTAGTTTATGTTAGTGATCAGACAATTTTACAGATCCTTAATGAAGATATATCTTATATAGAGTGCTTGAATGTAAAATCAATGGTAAACACTTTTTTAAATGATTTCAATTTTCAATCAATTTAAAGATAATATGGGGATATGTCTGCAGATTGGACCAATACTGTGAGGAAAAGTATGAATACGTTTTAACAGCATTTACAACAGCTTACCTTCAGGCATTTACTTCAGGTTTCCACAATGTGAAAAAATCAGTGTTCTTGTAAACATGATAAAGTTTTTTTTTAATCAGTGATTTATACATGCATAAGTATTTGTGGAGCTTTTTATGAGGAAATGGGAAGCAACTGCTGTGACTTACTCTAATATAAAATTTATCTAAGTCTTTTTCATGATTTTGCAAATTCACTGTTAAATTGCACCTGACAACATCATAGCAATAAAAATTAAGTTTGAGTGTTAGATGGTTGATTGCCTGAGGCTCCTTTACATGTCATGAAAAGTTAAAGTTTGAGTTGTAAGATAAGTAGCATCATCAGTCAACTTTCTTCACAGTGAAATTCCTTTGATGAGTATTTCACAAAGAAAAAAAATCTAATGATCGAATCATAAAACCTTTGACCCAATCATCTGACAGAATTGATTTGATCTCCAGTCAAGAAGATACACTTCTCGATACTTTGTTATATCTGTGAAATGACCTTCTCTTTTAAGAAATATAGCAGGTGAATTACTCAAAGAAGTCTTTCTAGTAATGATTACCTAGAATTCTAGATAAAAATATATTTAACTGGCCGGGTGCGGTGGCTCACGCCTGTAATCCCAGCACTTTGGGAAGCCGAGGCGGGAGGATCACGAGATCGATACCATCCTGGCTAACACGGTGAAACCCCGTCTCTACTAAAAATACAAAAAAATTATCTGGGAGTGGTGGCAGGTGCCTGTAGTGCCAGCTACTCGGGAGGCTGAGGCAAGAGAATGGCTTGAACCCGGGACGCGAAGCTTGCAGTGAGCCGAGATCGCACCACTGCACTCCAGCCTGGGCGACAGAGTGAGACTCCATCTCAAAAACAAAAACAAAAAAACCTATATATATATATATATATAGGTTTAACTATTTAAATGGATAATTTAACTGGTAAAGAAAAAAATAGAAGCAATTCTTAGAAACCAGAAAGAGAAAGAAAGGAAGGGAAGGGAAGTGGATAGGAGGAAAGAGGAGGGGTGAGGAAGGGAGGGGGAAGGGACGAAGAGGTAAATAAGCATAGAACCCAGGAATACTCTGATGTTACCTGTGATAGCTTAGAAAACTTGATTTAAACACTAATCTGGGACTCAAAAGACAAAGGCTGGTGACTAAAGAGTTGGGGCTCAGATCTGAGATTCCTCTATCAAAGATCATATCCCAGAAGAGTGAAGGCCTCAGTAGGTAAACTAGAAAACACAGCAGAGGTAAACAGAGAGTATTCAAGACTTTCCCTAAGTGTTAATTTCCCTTGGTTTCTTTGGGATATTAGCTTGCTCATGTGCATTTTGTTCTTTTTTTTTAAGAGACAGAGTCTTGCTCTGTTGCCCAGGCTGGAGTTGGTGCGGTGGCACCATCTTGGCTCACTGGAGCCTCAAACTCGTGGGCTCAAATGACACGCCCACTTAAGCCTCCCGAGGAGCTGAGATTACAGGCGCAAGCTACCATGTAAGGCTAATTTATTTTTATTTTTGTGGAGACGAGTCTTGCTATGTTGCCCAGGCTGGTCTCGAGTTCCTGGGCTCAAGTGATCCACCCACCTCAGCCTCCTAAAGTGCCAGAATTACAGGCAAAAAGCCACCATATCCAGCTTCATGTGCATTTTGAGGTCATCTAAGAATGTGATGGAATTTTTTTACCTGATTTTGCTATACTACTGTTCAGAGAAAATCCAAACTCTATAAAGTAGTTCAGAGGTTTATTCTGAGCCATTATGAGTGACCGCAGCCTGGGGAAAACGCAAACCCAAGAAGCCTTAAGTAAGTAGTCTCCGAAGTGTTTGGATTACAGTTTGGTTTTATACATTTTACAGAGGCCAGAGTTACAGGCAAAGACATAAATAAGTACATGGAAAGTATATATTGTTTTGGCCCAAAAAGACAGGATATCTTGAAGCAGGAATCCCCAAGTTTTAGGTGGATTCAGATTCTTTAATTTGCAGTTGGTTAAAGTAGTAAGACTCTCTCTAAAACTTGGAGTCATCAGACAGGAATGTTTTAAGATAACAGTGCTATGTAGCAAGATTGATGGCCAGCAGGCTTGACTTAACCTTTGCCTTGCATGGCATTGGGTCTTATTTGTAATTTGGAATTTCATTGCCATAAGGAGTGTGTTTGTCAGTGTTATAATCTCCGTTTTACATGAGCACTGGTCAGTTGTGCCTAAACTCCAAAAAGAAGAGGATATCATGGGGCATGTCCAACCTCCCTTAAACAATCATGGCTGAAAATTTAGTTGTCAAGATTTGTGTTGGTCAAGAGGGGGTCCATTTTCAGCTAGTAGGGAGCTTAGACTTCATTTTTAGTTTACATCAAACAGTGACTTCCTTCTTTCCAGAAATTTTTCTCTTAGTAACCAATTTCAGGAATAAGATGGCTGATTTTTGTGTCAGTTTCATCTCTCTATGGACCAAATTTGCGGAGGTCTCAAGGGAACTACCAATTAAATACGTCTTACCTAGTATATTTCCTTTCTCTTAGGGGTACCTTCCTTCCCGTTCTTGCCTGCTTTTAGTCACTCTTAACTCTTCATAAGGTTGATTTTTATGGTTTTTCTCCAAGTTTATAATGGTTTCTGAAATGAGGCCCTTTGTCATTACAGAAAGTAGTACTCCATCTTTTTTTTTTTTTGAGGCGGAGTCTCGCTCTGTCGCCCAGGCTGGAGTGCAGTGGCGCAATATTGGTTCACTGCAAGCTCCGCCTCCTGGGTTCACGCCATTCTCCTGCCTCAGCCTCCCGAGTAGCTGGGACTACAGGCACCCGCCACCGTGCCCAGCTATTTTTTTTTTTTTTTTTTTTTTGTATTTTTAGTAGAGACGAGGTTTCACCATGTTAGCCAGGATGGTCTCGATCTCCTGACCTCGTGATCTGCCCGCCTAGGCCTGCCAAAGTGCTGGGATTACAGGCGTGAGCAGCCTCGCCCGGCCTATCTTTTTTTAAAGCTAAGCTGTCTTTTCTAATATAATGTAAATATACAAATTGTGTTATTTTAAAGTGCAATTTCATGACAGAATTTCAACTACTTAAATACATGATGTCCGTGGTAAACACTATTTTAAATTGTGATAAAATACTTAAAGAAAATAGTAAACATATGGTCCTGGATCCTGAGAAAATAATTCCTCACACAATGCACGAAATGTATCCATTTCTTAAAAATGTCAAACATTTGCTTTTCCTTAGGTGTAAATAATTTTCTCCTTTGGGAGAATTGGTGATGCTGAATAAGTGATTTGTGAAGCAAAGTAAATTTATAAGATCATTACAAATGGCAGCTTCCAGAAAATGGTGAGGGTAATATGTCAAGGCAAAAAAAAAAAAAAAAAATGCTGTTTCTTCAGTCACTGAAAATCATCTCCTTAATCATGTTGCTTGGGGAAAAATACATTTGCTTTTCCCGTCTAATTTTCCAAATGACATGCTGATTTTACATGGCTCTGTTGATGCATAAGTAATTGATAATTCAGAAGAATGTATAATACAATGTTCTTGAATATCTTAACATTTTGTCTCAGTTGGGTAATCATCTACTTCTTTCTTCTTACAGGTCCCTATTATAAATTAAATAAATGAATATTTTGAATGATTCTTTAATCATATACATATAGACTATTGATGAGTAAAATATATATTTTGATAAATCTTCCACTCTACTATCCAATATAAAATTTAAAAACAATGTCTTCTGTAATATAAAACACTGTATAATATAAAAATATTAATCAAACTTAGAGTTTAAGAATGTGGAATCTCCAAGCTAAACCCCTTTCTCAGTTTTTGGTTAATCAGGGATAAAGTGAAGATTAATATGATGAAGATTGCTGATATGGAAAGAGTGGAAAATAATTATTCAGACTGGATTTTTTAAAGAGGCTTCTTGCTTTAATAATAGTGGGAGATGAAGAGGAATGATGTGATTTTTATTTTTTCACCTGCTTTTTAGTTTTTGTAAGCAGAGGCATCTTTACTAAACCATCTGGCTTTTATAATTACTAATCAGAGGCAAGATGCTGTAAGCTTCTTATCAGTCAGAGTTCATCATTCCTCACTGATTGCTCCAAATAGCCAGGAAAATGGAGAATCACAGTTCATATACATGTAGCCAAGAAAAACAAAAATTAAACTCTGTTCTATTCTGGAGAACTTGTCCTGTGAAAACACTACGTGCATCCCCTTTGGCCAGGAACACCACAGTGGTTCTGTTCACACAGCTAATGGGAGCTGCTCCAGAATTTCTGTCTCTTCCACTCATGGGAACCTGAAGTAGTTGAAGGCACCATGCAAGATGACAAGAAGTGGCTGCCTCATTGTATACATTCAAATTTTGGAGGAAGAACATATGATAGAAAAAGCTTAGGTCACATGATATAGGTGTGATTGATAAAGCATCAAGGAATGCTGGGAAAGTGAGATTTGGTTTCTTCAACATTTGCAATGGAAGACAAGGTCCACCTTACAAAAAGGGGAATTTGGAAAATGTAAATTCAGATGCTCACTAGACAAAAGAAATGGCAAGTATCCACTATGGAACGGTCTAAAAGAATTAAAAGCACCATTGACCAAAGCTAATAGTTAGTTAATGATAACAGCTACAAACTTAAAGGTAATTTAAAAATTCCAATTACACCTAATTTTGTTTTTTTAAGCCCATTGAAATATTTTTTAATGAAATACTGTTCAGATTTTCAGGAACTTCTTGAAAATTGTAATGCATTTGGTATGCAAGTGGAAAAAAATCTGTGATCCAAAGGGAAGTATCTGTGAATTTATAGACAATAGTCCCCCTCCAAATGGTGATTGTTTTTTTCTTCTTGCAGGCACATCTGTGATTTTATGTTTGTAGTTTGAAGAATTTTGTTTTTAGCTTAGCTTGTTTTTTTTATCTGTTAGTTCTTCAAGACAATCGTAAGTATACATTGATTGTAAGACTATATAGTAGGCTTCCCTATGTTGAACTGGTTATATTTAATCATTCCATTTAATCAGGACACTATCTGAAATCTGAAATTTCGACTATGCTTATGCAGATTTGTGTATATAAATTCCGACTTCCCCCAGCACTTTGGAAGGCCGAGGCAGGCGGATCACGAGGTAAAGAGATTGAGACCATCCTGGCCAACAACCCATCTCTACTAAAAATACAACAATTAGCTGGGCATGGTGGCGCACACATGTAGTCCCAGCTACTCAGGAGGCTGAGGCAGGAGAATCTTTTGAACTCGGGAGGTGGAAGTTGCAGTGAGCCAAGATCGCGCCACTGCACTCCAGCCTGGCGACAGAGTGAGACTCCGTCTTTAATAAATAAATAAATAAATAAATAAATAAATAAATAAATAAATAAATATAAATTCCTACTTCCTTATATATTGTAAAATTATTTCTTTTTGCAGATATCTAAGTTAGCCTAATGTATTTCACTTAGTCTGTTGGATAATGGTTATTTTTCTTTGGTTCTTTAATGGCACTGCTAATTATCTAAAAAATTACCAGAAAGTAACCTAAGAAGATGCAAGTCTAGCACCTATCGTGGAAAGTCAGTCAAGTACAAAAGAGAAAATTTTATGGTTATTTTAAAATGAGCAGAATCAAGCTTCTATGGATTTCTTAAGCACTTCAATTTCTTTTGCAGTTTCTCATATTGATTTTATGTGAGTATAATTATTCTAAAGTAACAGCAGATATACCGCTATTTAAAACAATATAAATATTAAATACTTTATGCAAGAAAATACTCAAGAATTAGTAAAAAGGAGGCAATATTACCCAATAGAGATGTAGAAGACATAAGCTCTAAAAATTCACCCACTAATATATTCTAGGAAGATCTATGGCTAATTTTCCCCAATGTATAATTACATTTGCTCGAACATGTCCTAAAGGTTTCTTCATTGAATGCCACCCTCACAGTTCTGGCCCTTTTCCTTTAAGCTTAATCAGTATTTGTAGTCTTATATTTTTAAAATTCCTAATGCTTACTCCAATCTTTTAAATTTTGGATCTCATCAACTTCACATTCTAATGATGAAGATTCCCTTGAAAGCAACATAAAAATTTACTATAAGATGCACCCTCTGAAACGCTGACCGCATTTATACTATTGAAATAACCAACTCACCATATATTTAAAAGGAAAGTGTTCACAATTCTCACGTTTGTTCCAGAAACTCTAAGACCGTTTTGTTTTCCTTTATGAAGATGGCTGAAATCACTGCATCAACTATGCTCAAGCCACTTTATTAGGGGAAGAAAAGAATCAGAGCTATGTGCCAAGTGCCAGGTTAGGGGTTAAAAAGTTTAGAGTGACAACACATGTACCAGAATCTTGGCATGTAGTAATAGGATAACTTTAAGACAAATTCTTAAATACCGGAGTAAGAAGAGCAGGACCTAAAATTAATCAACGATGTACTATGTGCCCAAATTGCCACTATTGTTCCTTATAGATTTATTTTTCAAGTAGACCATAAACTCTCAGACTTTTCACTCTATATAATTCTTATCACCATACTGAGAATATAGTAAACAGAATGTTTGCTTACTAATTATCTAATTTATTAAGATACTGGAAACAGCAAGAGCTTTTTCCTTTTTCTTTTTCAATATCCTCTAAACCCATAAGTTGAGCTGATTCAATTAGGAAGGTTCAGATATTGTACTGTAAACCTTGGATTTAGATACACTTTGGCCCAATCCTAGTCTTACCATTTCTAGAAGGGAAGCCTTGAACAAATTCTTTAACTTCCATGAACTCCAATTGCTTTATTCATAAAATGAGGATTAATTTTTTCTTACAACATAAACTGGAGGCTACATTGAGGTGGCATGTTCTCTGATAATAATATTAGTGTTATTTATTCTGTTACTATTATTATGTATTATGCTGTGGTATAAAAACAGCATTTTGGGGTTGAGTTAATAACATGCTTATTATTTACTGTTTTCTGAACAAGGACACATAGTGTAGGCTAATGCTAAATTCTCTAAACTTTATGTTTTCATGATAGTGTAGGGTTGCATTCTTCCTGTCTCAGTAAAACCTCTTTAAAGGAAAAAGGTGTGGACTTTTCTATGTTTTTAGTAGATCTGAGAAAGATAGTCTGTTAGCTTGCAAAGATGGCCACAATTTCTTATCTCTCCCTGTATCTGTATTTTTGCCAGACTATTCCGTAGTTCTTCTAAAGGGATCAAGTCTATTTCCTTACCTTTTAAATATGGACAGGTTTTGTGGCTTTCTTTAGTTAATATACTCGGTGGAACTGATGATGTGTAGTTCTGACTTAAGACATCTATGGGATGTTTCTGCTTCCTCTGTGGCTCTCTTGCAGGCTACTTCTGGCATGTCCTTGTGGTAATGGGAGATTTGCAAGAAAGCAGTCCAAGGCTTTGATCAGCCATCTGCCATCCAGCCTTCAAATCTGTAAGCCAGATCAACAAGGAAGATTCACATAGCCAACTGTCAGCTGACTCAACAGTGTGCCCAATACACACTGCTTGTTAAATGCCACGAGGGTTTGGTTTAGTTTCTTAAAAGGAAATGTTTTTTCCTTTTAACTGTATCAGTCAAAAGACAACTGATACAGACTCCAAAACTGTGTGCTAACTCATGATGGCATGTTAAAACTGGAATGTGTCCAGCTATATAAAAAATTTTTTGGCTGGGCGCAGTGGTTCACATCTGTAATCTCAGCACTTTGGGAGACTGAGGCAGGAGGATTCCTTGAACTCAGGAATTCGAGACTACCCTAGGCAACAAGGGGAATCTCCGTCTCTACAAAAAATGCCAAAAAATATTAGCTGGGTATGGTGGTGCATGCCTCTAGACCCAGCTGCTTGGGAAACTGAGGTAGGAGGATCACTTGAGCCCACGAGGTTGAGGCTGTTGTGAACTGAGATCACACCACTGCACTCCCAGCCTAGGTGGCAGAGTGAGACCCCGTCTCAAAAAATTTAAATTTTTTTTAAAAAATTATGATTATGTGTGGAGGGTTAATACGTTATTTCATTTATTTTCCAACTTTTAATTGTGATTAAAAAATGACACCTACAGAAAGTTACAAGCATAGAAGAATATATATATATATATATATAATATATATATCCCTCATTTAGATGTGCAAATGTTAACATTTCACCACACTGATTTCTTTTTGTATTCATCTGTAGGATTGTTTTCTGATGAATCAATTGAAAGTAGATTAAAGATAGCATAATCTTTCATTATTAAATTTTGTCTAGCCATGGTAAATGACTACTAGTCACTCACTTATTGTAAGACACAGCTTCCATTTAGCAGGACTCCATCCATGGAAGTTGTTTGAAAGGCCGATGCATATTGGATATGGCCAATGTCCTTGTGGTAATGGGAGAGGTGCAACACACTGGGAGAGGCCAATGCATTGGCCATATCCAATATGCACTGGCCTTTCAAAGGGCTTCCATGGATGCAGTCCTGCTAAATTGAAGCTGTGTCTTACAAGAAGTTTCATATAAGACATCCTTAAGAATCATGTTTATGAGTAAATTGAAATTTAACATAAAAAATAAATTACAAATACATATGTAAATATGAGACACCAGTTTTTTTTCCTACTTATAGGAAAAAAATTTTAACTAGATACATTATATCTGAAAAACATTTATTAGAACTTCACAACAATTAGCTTTGACAATGAACCTTAACACTTTCATTTGCCTCAACAGATTTGGAAATGAGGTTATGGTAAAATATTATACTTACTTTATAGTGAGCATCTCATTGCTCTCAGAAGAACTAGAGAGTTAATTCTGCTGTTAAGTAATAATGTATGTAATTTTTTTTCTTTCAATAACTTTTTGTGTTCTTCTAAAATACAAAATCACGCTGTGGAAGTAGATGAATACGCTGATCTTTGTTTTTATTATTTTTTCTCTGTTATATATAAGAAAATTTCTCCTCTGATAATAAATGGATATATATATATTATTTTTTCATTTATGAATTAGGTCTTTCTTGTTTGCTGAAAGAGTTTTATCTAAACATCATTGTCACCTGTGCTAACTTGAAGTGTTGGGGATAAAAATTGCTTTCTTTCTTTTTATTTCAATCACCAGAATGTGTAGAATTAGCATTTTGTAAACTTGTGAGCAAGGCATCAACAAAACCAAGCCCAAACTTCCTGGATTGGACCTCGGTATTTTTCCCATGAAAATTAATTCTTAAAGAAGGTATCACTTAGAGAAATTATCTGCACATAAGAACCACATAATCTCGCAAAGACAAAAAGCTTTCAAGTTCCTAGACACCACCCAAAATCAAATGAAACAAAGTTTCATGAATTAAGGTCCAGGAACTTGAATTTATCAATAGTTCTTTCCATAACTGTGGCATGTTCTTCCTTTTCTTGTAAAAGGACTTTGCTTGCTGAGTGATCAACCTATCCATCTCTTCTTTATCTTCCAAAAGTGTACAGGTAATATAAAGAGAAGTTATAAACCAAAAATTCAATAACACTAGTCTTATATTTATCTCTGTATTTAACTTTATCATAATTCTTTATTTTTTCATATGGCTTCAAATTGCTATCTAGTGTTTTTTTGTTTGTTTGTTTTCATTTCTTCCTAAAGGACTTCCTTTATCATTCTTCTTGGGAGTGCAGACTCCCTCAGCTTTTGTTTATCTGGAATGTCTTACTTTTACTTCATGTTTGTCCTTTCTCTGTCCCCTCTTTCTGAGCTTCCTTTTATGTGTATGTTGCTTTATGTGAATGGTGCTCCAGAGGTCTCCTAGACTCTATTGATTTTTCTTCATTCTTTTTATGCCTCAGACTATATAATTTCAACTGACCTATCTTCAAATTCATGGATTCTTTCTTCAATGTATGCAAATCTTTTTTGGAAAACTTCTAGTGAGTTTTTCGTTTTAGTTCTTGTACTTTCAACTCCAGATTTTTTATTTAGTTTCTTTTTATAGTTTCTATCTCTTTAACGAAATTCTTTGTTCATGCCTCATTTTCCTAATTTTCTTTAACTCTTCACCCATGACTTCCTTCAGTCATTCAGTGTATATTTGACTTGAAATGTTTGACTAGTAAGTACAATGTCTGTTTTTCTAGGGACAGTCTCTGTTTTTTTTTATGAGCTATATTTCTATACTTTTTGTTTCTTCACATGCTTCCTAATTTTTTGTTGAAAAACAGACATTTTGAATATTATAATGTGGTAATTCTGGAAAGCAGATAATTTATTATCCCCACAGTCTGTCTTATTTCTTGTTTTGCTCTGTGCCTGTTTCTAAACTATTTTTGTAAATCTGTATTATTTGTCATGTATAGTCTCTCAATTCTATGTTCCTTAACTTATATGAAGTTAAGTGATTCAAAATCTAAGCTGTTGAAATTTATTTTGAGCCTCAAAGCAATGTGAATACAGAGCCTGAGTCAACAATAGGCAGCTGTAACCTAAGCAACTGTAACCTTTATTTCTCTGATTATAGATTAGCCTTAGTCCTTACCTGAGTTGTTTTATAGATGTGTTAAATTACTGAAAGGTGCCAGAGAAGACATTTTTACTATTGACAATTGATCTTCATTATAGATTAACTTTTTTGTTGCCTTTCTCACACAGACTGTGCGTGGCTATCATATTATTTTAAGATGGAATAATAATTTAAGACTTTTAAATAGAAAAGGAAATGAAAAATTACTGTAAAGAAGAGAAAATAAGCTGTACAGGAAATACAAACTGTAGTTAATTTGTTGTTGCTCTTAAACTAGCTTTGTATTGAAAATGTCATAATCCTGTGAGATGTATTTGTTTTCTGCCTATACAAGCAAGAAATTAACTTTGAATTTTGGAACACTGACCCTATCTCTCTGGATTCTGTGTCTCCCAAATGGCTATTCCCAGCTTTTTACGTGAATAACAGCGGATTGTTATTCTTTCAATCACTTCAGGTTGACACTTGTGCTCAACTAGTGTTCTTGTTTTGTTTTGTTTTGTTTTGAGACAGTCTTGCACTGTCAACCAGACTGGAGTGCAGTGATATGATCTCAGCTCACTGCAACCTCCGCCTCATGGGTTTAAGCGATTCTCCTGCCTCAGCCTCCCAAGTAGCTGGGATTACAGGCACCCACCACCACATCCAACTAATTTTTTGTTTTTTCAGTACAGACAGGGTTTCACTATGTTGGCCAGGCTGGTCTCGAACCCCTGACCTTGTGATCCACCCTCCTCAGCCTCTCAAAGTGCTGGGATTACAGGCGTGAGCCACCGTGCCTGGCCTCAGCTAGTGTTTTGATAAAGATTTTTTTAAACATGAGAGGCCAAAAAAAATGATAAAAATAGATCAATAAATGGAGATAGAGAAAAAATTTTTGAAAATAAAATAAAAACCGCTCTAGTCCTTGCAAATTGGCTCTGTGCTAGACCACTCCTTCAACCTTTAGCCAATCTATTTACAACTTTGCCTTTAGCTTTAAATTCGTGCTTTTAATGTGCCCAAGATCAGCCATTGTTTAAAAGCTCTGTTTTCTGGTGTGTCCTGCTTTTGATATGCATGTGATTTCTAAATTCCCCAGTATACACAGTAAAGACAAACAAAGACAAATTACCATATATTCAGAATTTTATAAAATATGCAGCATATTTAATAATGCAATTATAGAATATTTAAATTAATTTTAAGCACCGAAACAAAATCTGTTTTTATTATTTAAAACATGTTCATATAAGCTGTTGTATTTATAGTTTTTCTAGTAATATTGTTCAATTAGTAAAATTAAATCAAGATATATATGTATGTATATATATACACATATGCTTTTATGTATACACACAAAAACATACATATATTTATGTACATGGATATGTATATACACCTACACATAAAGAACACTGTTAATTAGCTACTTAAATTATTGAAAACATATGTACTACTATACCTGAGAGTTATCATTATTCCTTAGTTTTATTTATCTTAGTAATATTGTTATCCTAGTAAAATTAAATCAAGCTATATATGTATGTATATTTATCTTATGAGTACTTTTATATCTCAAATAAACTTTCTTTCTAGGTTTTCCAGCCAAGCTTTGGTGCTCTATTCTTGGCCTCACTGCAATATTTTGCCCCAGATAGCTGTAAGTTGGTTGTCTTAGTGTGTTTTTGGAAAATGTCCACCTCTTTTCTGAAGTTTGAGGGTTAGGAGTTAGCCCAAAAAGAGACAAGCTCTTTGTGTCACCCATTCAAGTAATGCCAGAGTAAAACAAACACAATTCATTACACATAAGGCCTGCTCTGGTATCTCCAGAACAAGGAGGAGCATCCCATACTGGGAACACAGGCTTTTGTCTTCAAGGTCACCACAGAGCCAGGGAGGGGGTTGGGGCAAGGGAAAGTAAAAAGGTCACAAAGCCTTACTAACCTTTTAAGTTGCCTTGGTATTCATTCTCTAAAATCATAGGTGAGGTAAGCTGATAATGTTTTATTTACTTAATTAAAAAATGTATCCGGGCGTGGTGGCTCACGCCTGTAATCCCAGCACTTTGGGAGGCCGAGGCGGGAGGATCACGAGGTCAGGAGATCAAGACCATCCTGGCTAACAAGGCGAAACTCCTTCTCTACTAAAAATACAAAAAATTAGCCGGGCGTGGTGGCGGGCGCCTGTAGTCCCAGCTACTCGGGAGGCTGAGGCGGGAGAATGGCGTGAACCCAGGAGGTGGAGCTTGCAGTGAGCCGAGATCATGCCACTGCACTCCAGCCTGGGCAACAGAGCAAGACTCCGTCTCAAAAAAAAAAAGAAAATTTTAGAAGGAGAACAATGCATTTGAAAATGATCTATTACTATCCTTGAGAAAATTATATCTTCATTTTTAAAGAGAACATAATTCTTAAGAACATCATATATTCAGAATTTTATAAAATATGCAGCATATTTAATAATGCAATTATAGAATATTTAAATTAATTTTAAGCACTGAAACAAATAAAATCTGTTTTTATTATTTAAAACATGTTCATATAAACCGATGTATTTATAGTTTTTCTAGTAATATTCAACTAGTAAAATTAAATCAAGATATATATGTATGTGTATATATATACATATGCTTGTATATCTACACATAAAAGCATATATATATTTATGTACATGTATATGTATATACCTCTACACATAAAGAACACTGTTAATCAACTACTTAAATTATGGAAAACATATATAATACTATACCTGAGGGTTATCAATAATTATTCCTTAGTTTTATTTGTCAAATGTTTTTAGCATTCTCTCATTCTCAGACAGAAGAATTCACTCATTCTCAGACAGGAGAATTCACTCGTTCTCAGACAGGAGAATGGATTCATTTATTTTAAATGAATTTTTAAAAATATTTTTTCAGAAAATATGTAAAGCCCTGGGACACATAAAATGAAAATGAAACCTAATTCTCATTCTAAAATTATGATATATTGTGGATCTATTGCTGCAGATTTATATACCTTTCAGTACTAGCTTGTTATTTAATTTTGAACTGTATGAGTTTTATGCAATCAGCACCTCTAAAACATCTTCATATCCTATTAGTCAAATAGATTTTTCTGTCTTGAGAAAGATTATTGGTTGTATGGATACTTGCTATCTCTCAATGGAAATCAAGCACTGAAGCTGAATGCAGTAGTTGACAGTAAAATGTTAGCGTATGCCTCACTCTTCCTTCCTTAAACATTTTTCTGGGAAAAAAGTAGATAAAAACACACTGAGCCTTTTAAATGCAATATCTCTTTTAACCTTAGAGCAAGTATTTGAGATATCCTTTTTTTTTTTTTTTTTTTTTTTACAAGCAAGGCATTTATAAGGGAATTGTCATAGCATTCTAAATATAGAAGGAAAATGTGAACTGAAATGTTTAGTAATCTATGACATTTTATGTATTTTTTGTAGTTATTATAAATGAAATTGCTTTCTCAATTTCTTTTTCAGCTAGTTTTGTTATTGTTATAGAAACACTACTGATGTTTGTAGGTTGATTTTGTATCCAAGAACTTTATTGAAGTTTTTAATAGTTCAAAGAGGATTTTGGTGGAATTTTTAGGTTTTTCTATATATAAGATCATATTGTCTGCAAAGAGGTACAAAGTGACTTCCTCTTTTTCAATTTGAATGCCGTTTATTTCTTTCTCCTGCCTAATTGCTCTGGTTAGGACTTCCAATATTATGTTGAATAAGAGTGGTGAAAGTGGGAATCCTTGTTCTAATTCTTGGAGAAAAGGCTTTCAGATTTTTCCTGTTCATATAATATTAGTTGTGGGTTTGTCATATATGGCTTTATTATTTAGAGGTATGTTCCTTCTATCCCACATGATCCGGCAATCCCATAACTGGATATGTATCCAAAAGAAAGCAAATCAGTATATTGGAGAGATATCTTCACCTCCATGTCTATTGCAGCACTATTCACAATAGCTAAGATATGATATCAGTGTGTCTATCAACAGATAAATGAATAAAGAAATTATTATATATGCATAAGATTAGGTTGGAGCACAACTAATTGCAGTTTTTGTCATTTAAATTAATGGTAAAAACCTCAATTACTTTTGCACCACCCTAAAAAATACTATTCAGCTATAAAAAAGGGATGAAATCCTGTCATTTTGACAGTATGGATGAACTTGGAGAAAACATTATGGTAACTGAAGTAAGCCAGACACGGAGAGGCAAATACCATACGATTTCACTCATATTTGGGAGCTTAATCAATTTCTACTCTTATAGAAGTAGAGAATGTAATTATGGTTATTACAGGTTGGAAAGGGTTGTGGGGAGGGGACAACAGGCAGAGGTTGTGGATATAAAATTACAGCTAGATAGGAGAAATGAGGTCTAGCGTTCTACAGCACTGTAGAGTCAACACAGTCAATAAAAATTCATTGTATATGTTCAAAAATTAAAAGACAAATTTCAGTGTTCCAAATACAAAAAAAAAATCAATGTTTGAGCTGATCGATATACTAATTACCCTGATTTGGTCATTATATATTGTACAAATGTGTTGAAGTATCACTGTATCCCATAAATATGTACAGTTATTACAGTCAACTAAAAATAAAAGGAAAATATAAATTATGACATAAGGAAAGCCTCTATTTGTTTTGCAGGTATTTCTGTGAAGACATGAGAAAGAAGATTGTGCAGGCTTTTTTGAGTTCTTTACACTTGATTAGGTGTGGCAGAAGGTGGCTCTTGTTACTTCATACACATTTTAAGTTTCTAGTAATCTATGATTATGAATAGAGTTATCAGTAACAACTCTTCCCAGGCAGGTATAAGCCAATAACAGAACATTATGATAAACTATGCCTCGGGTTAGATTAACTCTCTTGCATTGCATAGAAAGTTCCCGGGATGCCAAATCACTAAGGGCCAACTGCCAACGTCTGATTAAAATCTGGAGAAGTTGGCACTGGCTGTCTGGGCAGAGACTGAGGGGAGATTTTGCTTTTCACTGTGCTGAGATAAGTGGGGCCCTGGCAAGGGAGTGAGATAGATTAGCATTTAGAGCTCAAATATTCATTCCTGTCAGTCTGATTGTTAGCAGGGATTACTTGAGAAGATAGCAGAGAAAACTCCAACAGGGAAAAGGATTAGAGGGTTTACTGCAGCTAGACTCCCGCCACCTTTACCTAATACATTTGCCATAAGAAGTCCTAGTCAATTTCCTTGGAATTCCATGTCTATTGTTTGTAAGTATTTTAAAATTTTCTATGTAAAGCTCATTTTATTCAATTCTAAGGAATTATAATTTTTAACCATATTTTACTAATTTTTCAGTTTCAGATAACTATGAGTAAATGGTTCACAGCATTTGTAAGAGGTGCAAGAAAGAATTTAAGATTTTAATGTATTACGGATTTTTCAAGGGCAGTGTTTTTTTAATTGAAAAAGTAATAAAATTCTCAAAACTTCAGTTTGTGAAATGACATAAACTGATGCTTAAATGCCATCTAATTCAGTCTCTAACTTCCTGGATAAATTCCTCAAAATTATTTCAAACATGTGATGATTCATATTTTACCTAAACACATTCAGAGATAGAAATAGGGGGCTTAAATTGGGTCATTCATTCCATATTCAGAAAGCTCTATTTATCTTAAAGTTCTATTGTATTGAGTCAAAATTTATGTCCCTATGATTCGTATTCATTAATGTTAGTTCTCTCCTCTGGAATTACAAAGAATAAAAAAAGAAATTTACTTCTACTTTATATTTCTGTGAAAGTCGAAACAATTGTCATACCTGAACTCATCTCTCTTCTAGGCTAACAGAATTACTAATTTCTTTATCATTTATATACCATGGTTTATTGTTTTCTCAAGATTTCAGCCACTTAAAAAAATTTCATCCACTAGTAACACATTAAACCCATATCTGAACATGATATAGCAAATGTGCTCTGGCTAGTACACACTTTTCAAAATTCTAAAGTCTGTAATTTCCCTCCTTATCGTTTAGGCAGTATTCAAGTCATTAGAAATTTTTCCAGGCAAGATAATCAAAAGCGGAAACACGTAATACCTGGTTCTAGATCACTCTTTTCCTATTTGACCCCGGTCTGCTGTTATCCTAAGTGACTTCAGTGTTCTTTGGATTCATCTAACATCATAACCTAGTATTTCTCAATATCTTTTCCATAATAAACTTTTCTCAGAACCACCAGTTACCCTTGTTGAAATGCAGAATCTCTAGGGCTAGGTGATTTAAATGCATGTTAAAACTAACCTTCGGGTTGACATATGCTCACCAGAGTTTCACAGCAACTTTTCTAGTTTTTCAGTTCCTTTAAAACTTCCTTTCTCTGGTACCCTTTATTTTCATTCATTTCAATCAAACAGTCTAGTGGCTACCCTCATTCTTGTTTTCACTCGCAGTTGCTTCCCTTTTGTGATGAGCTGAATTGCATTCCCCCAAATTCCTGTGTTGAAGCCCTGACTCCCAATGCCTCAGAAGACGACTGTATTTGGAGGTAGAGCTTTTAAGGAGTCAAGTTAAAATGAGGCCAGTAGGCTGGGCCGTGCTCCAATCTGACTGGTTTTTTTCGTTTGTTTGTTTTTGTTTTTTAATAAGAGGGGATTAGAACACACAGAGAGACACCAGGGTATGCATGCAGGGAAGGACACCATTTGAAGAGACAGCCAGAAGGTGGCCTTCTATGGTCAAGGTCGGAGGCCTCAGAGGAAACCAACTCCACCAGCACCCTAGTTTTGGACTTCCAGCCTCCAGAGCTGTGAGAAAATAAATTTCTGTTGTTTAAACCACCCAGCCTGTGGCATTTTAGTAGGGCAGCACTAGCAAATAATACACTATTTAAAATTCTTAAAATTTGACTCTAATATTTTATTCTTATCCATTTATTCTTATCACACCTACATTTACAGAAATTCTCATACCTCATTATTCTCCTAAGAGGTTGGCTTCATCTCTCCCCCCATCAAAAATGCTGTAGAGGTGACTCAACATTGGGATTTATTACTGGCAGGTTAGGTGCTCCATGGTGACAGGAGCACGATTAACAATGATGAGGGGAAAACCCATGTTGTTGATTACATATATAATCTTCAACCCAGCTACCATGATCATTTTGTCATGAGCCCATTGAGCAATCACTATATTGACTTGGGAAAAAGTTAACATTCACAGCTAGTCACACTGCCTACCTGATTACTTCCTTCAGTTTGGTGTCATAGAACTGAGGTCTGGCAAATGGAATTTAGGTGAAGGTGCTACATATGACATTCAAGTGGATGTGGCCATGAAATATTCCCATAGATTGGGATGAAAATATTTCCAGACCCTGTCATTCCTCTAGAGCTGCGTATTCCTCCTCCCCACTTCTCCCTGTCACCAGCCTTCTTATCTTGTCTTCCCAGGAAGAAAACCACTCAGCCAACACATTAAACACTGCCTATTAATTGTTGTATTTCTTCAAGTCAGACCATCTCCCTTTACAGTCAAGGTGAAAAAACAATTCCACCGCATAAAATCCTGCAAACAGTGGATTTATTTGTTCCACTGTAACTTCTGGGCATCTTGAGAAGGGTTGTGTTGTATCAGTCCAAAATCTAGTGATGTTTACTGTAGACTCAACTATAAACCAGAGTCCACTGTATTTTTTTCCTTATTTAGCAGGCCAGAAGGGCCTCATCATGAGGCTTTAAATGTATCTCTAAGGGGAGATGAGCATGCAATTTTAATTACACTTTTAGCTCTATTTGAACTTTATCTTATTTATTTTGCTTGTCAACCTAATTAACAAACAGAAAGAGGCTAAGAGAAAAAGATATTTATTTAGCAATAGAGCATTGCAATGGCAATATGCATGCTGTAGTAAACTGTATCTGTATTCAAGGAAGTAAAGGAAGACAAAGATTTTTAAAGGAAATATGAGAAGGACTACATAATGGCTTTGAGATAATTATCCGTGACTACAAGGATTAATGACAGGAGTGGTGCCAGTCAGTGGTTGCCCAGGCAGTTCCTAGGCAGAGGTCCTCAGAGAAGTATTTTTTGTGTAAGGTTGCAATGACCTTTGTGCAAGGTTGTGGTTTTTGTAGAGTCCTTTATGACAGCTTTTATTCTAAGTCATTTATGCATGAGAGTCCTTCATGGCCTTTCTCAGCACTATTTTTCAGAGTTTCTTCTTGTTTTTAACACAAGTGATTCCATTTCTTTCAGACAACTTTCACATATTAAACCTAAGGATGGATTATTACTTTATATCCACATATGTATGGCTTGATAATTCAGATTTGTCTTGATTGACAGCTTAGGATGCTGATCACAAGTCATCTCATAATCAGACATTGTATTTTTTATATCCAGAATCTCAAAAGGTCCATCAAGCATTGCTTATTTTTCTGGAATGTGAGGGGCAAAATACAGTAAGCCGTTAAAGCTATTTGGGAGAGATCTCTGTTTCAAATCAATAAATGCCCTAAAGGTAACTGATGAGGTAGACCCCTCTATCTTTTTAATCTCCCACCAGCTGGTAAGCAAGTTGCCTTTGAAGGCATTGTGCACACTTGCTAACTCCCTTTGACCAGACTGCGTTGGCATGTCATCAAAGTGGTGGCTGAACATAATGTTCTGTAGGATATCAAAATAGTAATCATTCTTACAGAGTAGATCATGACAAGCAACTGAAGCTTTGGCATAGCCTTGAGGGGATAAGGAGAAGAAGTACTGCTGTCCCTAACACGTAAAAATCAAGCAGCGTATGATGATCTTGGCTAATAACTACAGCAAAAAGAAAGAAAAAAAATCAAATCAATATCTGTATACCTGATGTTGAGGGCTATATTTATTTACTTCACTAAAGAGATTTCATTTGAAGCAGAAGCTGCAATTAGAGTTACTACCTGAATAAGTTTATGATAACCTGCTATTTTTCTCCAAAATCCATGTTACTGCATATACTAAGTAAATGAATAAAAGAGCTAAGTGGAATGTGATTGGAACTCCTATCATGTTGGTGAGAAGGAGTGATAGAGAATGATAGAACAGGGCCTTCCAACTCGTTTTTTCCCAAATTAATAGTCCCTCGTCCACTAGTCAGGAAGCTATTGGAAAGATTGTTCTTTTTTTTTCTTTTTCTTTGTCTTTTTTAGTATTTCTGAGATCAGATGAGATCGGGCTCGTTCAGGGTGGTATGGCTGTAGACCTTTTTTAGTATTTCTATTCAAACTTCTAAACTATAAATTAGTGACCTGTGTGGAAATAAATGAAGCTTGAGACTTTCAATCCACTATTCCCACTGTAAAAAAGTCCTAGAACAAAATTTCTTTTGCCATTTCTGATTAGTGGACGACAGCGAAGCTTTCTATCCTCAGGGATTTACAACACCTCCATGTCAGTACCCAGTAAATCTCCAAAATTGAGAGTTATAGTGATATCTTTTCACTGGTCTTTTAAAGGACGGCTAGGGGGAGTATTGTTTATTTACTTATAGAATGTTTCACATTTCTGCCTTATAAGTATGAAACCCTACTTTCATTAATGCACTCTAAATCTGTAAACTGGCTCTGATAGGGAAATGGAATGAAAATGTATAAATCTCAAATGCAGTCTTAATTAAAGAGATTGGAATCATTTTTATTTATACGGGTTAAGTAAAACTTTAGGATGTTGCCCAAACCTGGAGTGCTCAGAAAATAATGATTAATCATCAGCCACCAAAAGTCTCTGAGGATCACACCATTATGATTTCTGGACAACTTTGCACCCCATGATAGAAAACACATAAACTTTGACTCTCGCAGTTAAGAGCTGCAACTTATATCTGCTACTTCCAAAACCCATCATCCTCATTGAAATTAGGAGGCAAACTTCATGGGGATATCTCTTACTTTCATTCTTGGCTTACAGAGTAGAGCCTCCAGATGTCTAAATAGGAAAGCATTTTAAGAAAGTGTTGGTTCCTCTCTAATTTATCTCTCAATAATGAGAGAAGTTTAGAACTGTATGAATACACTGTCACTTCATTCACTCAGTTTTGGATTCCACGTTCCATTTTGTCAATGTTCATATACTTTGCAACCAGATCCTGTGAATCATCTTATAGCCTGAAAAAAGAAGTATTTGAAAACCATCAGACAGTATCTCAAACAAGTTAAATGAACCTCTATATTTTATTATTATGACATTTTAAGTTAGTTTTGTCACTAATGGTTAGTTGAGATCCCAAGGGGACTAGACCATTTCACCTCTGTATTAACCAGTCCTTGCATGCAGGCTTCACTGGAAAGAAGGATCGCAACCATGGGTAAGACAGTCTCCTTCAGCTAAGGGAAAACCCTGGGCAGTGACTAATCTGTGAGCCAACAACGGGCAACAATCCCTGCATCTGGAGAAAGGAGGGCTTTGGCTGATACACCATAGTATTCACTACCACGTGTTATCTCTTACATGTGTATGAGCAAAACAATAGTGTTTACTTTTGCTTTATTTTAACTTTATATAAAACTTACATATCTATGTAAAGCATTCCGATACTTTCATGCATTATCACCATTCTCAGATTTAACTATATTTTAAAATACAATTTTAGTTATTACATTTCCATTGCTATGGAATACTTGATTATATGAATATACAATATTCTGTCCGTTTGGTTATATTTTTCTATTATGAGAACAGTTCTCATGTGTTTTAGTTAGTCAGAGCACATCCATATAACTTGTAGCACTTTTCAAGAGTCTGCATAGGATATAAATCTAGAAAGGTAATGTGCAATTGCTGGGTCTTTGATGATTTCCATTTTCAGTGGATATTGGTTTTGAGCTATCATATGGTGCATTATCAGTTGCTAATTGCGAGTGAGAAGTTTTCACTTTTACCATTCCTGTATTTCTGTACTTCAAAGGAAATATAATAGTGTGTGCAAAATTTGGGGAAATCATTTCACAAGAATAACAGAAAAATATAATACATTACTTCACAATTTCAAGCCAACATGAGCTGTTTTAATGTGGAAAGTCTTATTTGAAATAACATTTAATTGACAAGATAAACTGTTAGCAGAAGTAAGGAGAGGGCCACAAAATAATTTATTCAAAACAGGCTAAAATTTATAAGATTAAAGGACATTATGTGAATCACGGTCTGATGTGATCGCCTTCATGTACATTTCTTCTTGATCTCATTGTTTTTTTTGGTTCCTCTTGTCACTATGTTTCCTGCCCTTCTTGTCTAACCAGTTCTTAATTAAGTCATTGAAATGAACAAGGTCAAAAACAAAGTTCTTTATTTGATACCCTCATGTTGATATTAATCTATCCTTTAATATTCTAAAGAAATTCATAAGAACACAATCTTTCTGTTAAGTTAAATGTTTTGTCAAAAAGACCACATTTTGGGTTTTTTTTCCAATGAGAAATTTAACAAATGCTTAGCCAGGCTCAGCATTTAATGTATTAAATACAGAACCATGAATTCAAAATCAAATATCTGACAATTGAATATGTTCTGGAATACATTCTGGATCCTAGTAATCTCCACTTAGCTAGATGCACAAAATATTCTTCTAATAGTGCCCTATATTTCTTGTTGATTGCTATACTAATTTTCAGTTTGAAGAAACCTTAATTTTAAAATTCTGGGCATCTGTCAATTTGTCTCCTAACACCTCTTACTTTCAGATTTTTACATAGATGTCAACAGTCATTTATCATGCTCATCTGAAATATTGTTTTATACTAAAGAATACAAATTATTGTGGAAAGATTATTTTAAATGGTTATAGCAATTATATATATTTAACTCATCTCCTATTTTGGTCCTTCGCTTTGGTCCTATGGTGAAAGAGGTATTTTTAGTGACAGTGCAAGATCTCAATCTCTGAGATATTTTATTAGGTGAAAAAACAAGAAATATAAAATATAGGATGAGATATATACATTTATAGACACATAAATACACATAGAAAATTTTAACAGTATCTTAACAACTGCCTTTTAGAAGGGTTAGGGATCAATTAAAATAAGATGAGAAAGTGTTTAAGCCTTTAAAGTCTGCCTGAGAGGATGAGATGTTTATAATTGAGTGTTAACTGCCATAAATCATCTTTAGCATTATATCTAAATGTAATCTAGTATTTGAATAATTTTAAAGTGCTCAAACAGCAGGTGAATAAATTGGGAATAGGACTATAAATAGCGAGGTACTCACAGTTCTGTGGAAAAATAGGACAGAACAAAACAGACTCATTTGAGTAAAGTTTATAATCAAGAGGACTGAATAAACTTTTAAAATGAGTGATTCATTTTCTCTACTTTCTGATGAACAGTTTGGAAACTTTTGTTTTGCAGTAAATTATAGAATAGAATGCAATTGTGATAGCTGCCTGAGTGTTAAAGAAAGAAAGAAAGTCTCTGGAAATAACCAGAGTTTTAGAATACATGCATATTATATTAAGAAATTAATTAAATACATATATTTACTATTAAGATCATTACAGTTGGATTAATTATTAATGAAGATAATAGAAAATATCCTTTTAGTAGCTTCCATGAGTATCTTTTCAAAATTTCATTATTTCTTCAGCATTTCATATAAAATTTGTGCCTTTTTAATATATATTTCATGGTAAAATATAACCTTATTATACAATTATTTTAAGTATGCCAATACCGTCCAATTTTTTAGCTCATTTGTATGTCCAATTTTATTAAATTTAAATGTTTCTAGGTCAAAAATGAAAATAATGTAGCTATAAACAGTAGTCATGACTATACTCAGTTCTATTTGCCATTAAGAGTATCCTTAAGTCACTAAATATCATCCAATGTTTTAGGCAAGTCATGTTTTCTAAATTATTTTATTTTATCATCACAAATGTACTCACAAGGAAACCTCAGATTTTTAACATTATTAAAATAGTCTTGTTTTAAATAATACTTGAATTGTCATTTTTTTACAGCTCAAGTATTATTTAAAACAAGAGTTACATTAATAAGGATACATAATTATTTCATACTTGAAATAATTCTGCAATAACAAATAGAAACCTGTATAAATACATTAAAAGTAAAAATGTAATTGAGATTCAGGAGAATGTTGAGACCTAATCCAAGAAAGTAAGCGTCACAATAAAACAATGCAGGAGCTGACAAACAAATAAGCCAGTATAGAAAAGTACATAATTGGCCAGGTGCGGTGGCTCACGCCTGTAATCCCAGCACTTTGGGAGGCCGAGGCGGGCAGATCATGAGGTCAGGAGATCGAGACCATCCTGGCTAACACAGTGAAACCCCGTCTCTACTAAAAAAAATACAAAAAAATTAGCTGGGCGTGGTGGCGGGTGCCTGTAGTCCCAGCTACTCCGGAGGCTGAGGCAGGAGAATGGCATGAACCTGGGAGGCAGAGCTTGCAGTGAGCGGAGATAGTGCCACTGCCCTCCAGCCTTGGAGAGAGGGAGACTCCGTCCCCCGCAACAAAATAAATAAATAAATAAATAAAATAAAATAGAAAAGTACATAATCAACCTGGTAGAGCTAAAAAACACACTACAAGAATTTGATAATGCAATTGCAAGTATTAAGAGCAGAATGGACCAAGCCGATGAAAGAAACTCAGAGGTTGAAGACTGGCTTTCTGCAATATGAGAGAAACAGTCAGACAAAAATAAAGAAAAAAGAATAAAAAGGAATGAACAAAACCTTTGAGGAATATGGGATTACGTAAAGAGAACAAATCTATGAATCACTCATGACCCTGAAAAAGATGGGAGGAAATGAAGCAACTTGGAAAACATATTTCAGGATATCATTCATGCGGACTTCCCCAACCTAGCTAGAGAGGCCGTAATTCAAATTCAGGAAATGCAGAGAACACCCTCAAGATACTTAACAAGAAGATGACCCCTAAGACACCTAATCATCAGATTCTCCAAGGTTGAAATGAAAGAAAAAATGTTAAAGGCAGCTAGAGAAAAAGGATAGATCGCCTACAAAAGAAAGCCCATCAGACTAACAGTGGGCCTCTCAGAAGAAGCCCTACAAGCCAGAAGAGATAGGGGGCCTATATTCAACACTCTTAAAGAAAATAAATTCCAACAAAGAATTTTACATCTGGCCAACTAAGTTTCATAAGCAAAGGAGAAATAAGATTCATTTCAGAGAAGGAAATGCCAAGGGAATTCGTGACCACCAGACCTGCCTTACAAGAGCTCCAGAAGGAAGCATTTAATACGGAAAGACCATTACCAGTCATTACAAAAACACGCTTAAGTACACATACCAGTGTCGCTATAAAGCAACCACACAAGTAAGACAGCATAATAACCAGCTAGCAATATGATGACAAGATCAAATCCACACATATCAATACTAACCTTGAATGTAAAAAAGCTAAATGCCCCAATTAAAAGGCACAGAGTACGGCCAGGCACAGTGGCTCATGCCTGTAATCTCAGCACTTTGGGAGGCCATAGGCTCAAAATAAAGGGATTGAGAAAAATTTACCAAGCAAATGGAATACAGAAAAAAAACAAGAGGTTGCAACCTTAATTTCAGGTGAAACAAACTTTATAAAACAAAAATGAGAAGATAGAAAGGCATTACAAAATAGTAAAGGGTTCAAGAAGACCAACCTATCTTAAATCTACATGCACTGAACCTGGGTACACTCAGATTCAGAAAGCAAGTTCTTAGAGATAGATACACAAAGAGAGTTAGATTCACACACCATAATAGTGAAAGACTTCAACACCCCACTTACAGTATTAGATCATCAAGGCAGAAAATTACAAAGAGATTTGTAATTTTAAAAATTACCAAGAGTTGAGTTGAACTCAACACGTTGCCAAATGGATCTGAGCGACATCTACAGAAATTTCTACTCCAAAACAACAGAATATACCTTCTTTTCATTGCCACATGGTACATACTCTAAAATTAACCGTGCAATTGGACATAAGACAATCTTCAGCAAACCCCCCAAAACCGAAATAATACCAGCCACCCTCTTGGACCACAGTGCAATAAAAATAGAAATCAAGGCCAAATAAATTGCTCCAAACCATAAAATTACATGGAAATTAAGCAACCTGCTCCCAAACTGCTCTTGAGTAAATAACGAAATTAAGGCAGAAGTAAAAAAGTTCTTTAAAACTGATGCAAAGAAGGATACAACATAACAGAATCTCTAGGACACAGCTAAGACAGTGTTAAGAGGGAAATTTATAGCACTCAACACCAACATCAAAAAGTTAGCAAGATCTCAAATTTATAACCTAACATCACAACTAGGAGGACTAGAGAAACAACAACAAACCAACCCCAAAGCTGACAGAGGACAAGAAATAAGCAAAATCAGAGCTGAACTTAAGGATACAGAGACATGAAAAGCCATACAAAAGATTAAAAAATACAAGAATTGTTTTTTGAAAAAAATTAATAAAACTGACTGCTAGCTAGGCTAATAAAGAAGAAAAGAGAGACGATCCAAGTAAACACAACTCGAGTTGATAAAGGGGATATTATAACTGATGCCAAAGAAATACAAATAACTATCAGAGACTACTATGAACACCTCTGTCCACTGCACACGAACTAGAAAAACCTAGGAGAAATGGATAAACTCCTGTACATTCATATACAGCCTCCCAAAACTGAAGCAGGAAGAAATTGAATCCCTGAACAGACAATAGCAAGCTCTGAAATTGAATCAGTACAAAGAGCCTTACCAACTGAAAAACGCCCAGGACCAGAGAGATTCACAACTGAATTCTACCAGATGTACAAAGAAGAGCTGGTACCATTCTTACTGAAGCTATTCCAAAAAAACTGAAGAGTAGAGACTCATCTCAAACTTATTCTGTAAGGCCAGCATCATCCAGACACCAAAACCTGGCAGAGACACACACACACACACACACACAAATGAAAACTTCAGGCCAGTATCCTTAATGAACATTGATGCAAAAATCCTCACCAACATACTAGCAAACTGAAGCCAGCAGAACATCAAAAAACAAATCCACCATGATTATGTAGGTTTTATCCCTAGGATAAAAGGTTGGTTAAGCATACACAAATCAATAAATGTGATTCGTCACATAAACAGAACTAAATACAAAAACCACATGATTATCTCAAATAGATGCAGAAAAGGCTTTTGATAAAATTCAATATCCCTTTGTGTCCGAAATTGGTGGGTTCTTGGTCTCACTGACTTCAAGAATGAAGCCGCGGACCCTCGCGGTGAGCGTTACAGCTCTTAATTAAGGTGGTGTGTCTGGAGTGTGTTCCTTCTGATGTTCGGATGTGTACGGAGTTTCTTCCTTCTGGTAGGTTCGTGGTCTCACTGGCTCAGGAGTGAAGCTGCAGACCTTCGCGGTGAGTGTTACAACTCTTAGGGCAGCGCGTCTGGAGTTGTTCGTTCCTCCCGGTGGGCTCGTGTTCTCGCTGGCTTCAGGAGTGAAGCTGCAGACCTTCGCGGTGAGTGTTACAGCTCATAAAAGCAGCGTGGACCCAAAGCAGTAGCAAGATTTATTGCAAAGAGCAAAAGAACGAAGCTTCCACAGTGTGGAAGGGGACCCTAGTGGGTTGCCACTGCTGGCTTGGGCAGCCAGCTTTTATTCTCTTATCTGGCCCCACTCACATCCTGCTGATTGGTAGAGCCCAGTGGCCTGTTTTGACAGGGCACTGATTGGTGCGTTTACAATCCCTGAGCTAGATACAAAGGTTCTCCATGTCCCCATTAGATTAGTTAGATACAGAGTGTGGACACACAGGTTCTCCAAGGCCCCACCACAGCAGCTAGATACAGAGTGTCGATTGGTGCACTCACAAACCCTGACCTAGACACAGGGTGCTGATTGGTGTGTTTACAAACCTTGAGCTAGATACAGAGTGCGATTGGTGTATTTACAATCCCTGAGCTAGACATAAAGGTTCTCCAAGGCCCTACCAGAGCAGCTAGATACAGTGTCAATTGGTGAACTCACAAACCCTGAGCTGGACACAGGGTGCTGATTGGTGTGTTTACAAACCTTGAGCTAGATACAGAGTGCCGATTGGTGTATTTACAATCCCTGAGCTGGAGATAAAGACTCTCCACCTCCCCACCAGACTCAGCAGCCCAGCTGTCTTCACCCAGTGGATCCCCCACAGGGGCTGCAGGTGGAGCTGCCTGCCAGTCCTGCGCCATGCGCTCACACTCCTTAGCCCTTGGGTGGTCGATGGGACTGGGCGCATGGAGCAGGGGGCGGTGCTCGTCGGGGAGGTTCGGGCTGCACAGGAGCCCACAGAGGCGGGGGAAGGCTCAGGCATGGCGGGCTACAGTCCTGAGGCCTGCCCCGCGGGAAGGCAGCTAAGGCCTGGCGAGAAATCGAGCGCAGCACCGGTGGGCTGGCACTGCTGGGGGACCCAGTACACCCTCCGCAGCTGCTGGTCCGGGTGCTAAGTCCGTTATTGCCCGGGGCCGGCAGGGCCCGCCGGCTGCTCCGAGTGCGGGGCCCGCCAAGCCCATGCCCACCTGGAACTCCAGCTGGCCCGCAAGTGCCGCACGCAGCCCCGGTTCCCGCTCGCGCCTCTCCCTCCACACCTCCCCGCAAGCTGAGGGAGCCGGCTCCGGCCTTGGCCAGCCCAGAAAGGGGCTCCCACAGTGCAGCGGTGGGCTGAAGGGCTCCTCAAGTGCCGCCAAAGTAGGAGCCCAGGCAGAGGAGTCCCCGAGAGCGAGCCAGGGCTGTGAGGACTGCCAGCATGCTGTCACCTCTCACCTTCATGTTAAAAACCCTGAATAAACTAGGTATTGAAGTAGCATTACCCAAAATAATAACAGCCATCCATGACAAAACCACAGCCAACATTATACCAAATGGGTAAAATCTGGAAGCATTCCCGTTGAAAACCAGAACAATACAAGGATACCCTCTCTCACCACTCTTACCCAACATATTATTGGAAGTCCTGGCCAGAGCAATCAGGCAATAATAATAATAATAAAAAATAGAAAACATCTAAATAGGAAGAGAGGAGGTCAAACTCTCCCTGTTTGTAGATGACATGATTCTGTATCTAGAAAACCCCATAATCTCTGCCCAAAAGCTCCTTGATCTATAAGCAACTTCAGAAAAGTTCCAGGATACAAAATCAGTGTACAAAAATCATTAGCATTCCTATACACTAACAACACTCATGCTGAGAGTCAAATCCCATTCAAAATTGCCACAAATAGAATAAAATACCTGGAAATACAGCCAACCAAGAAGAGCAAAGAGCTCTACAATGAGAATTACAAAACACTGCTCAAAGAAATCAGAGATGAAACAACCAAATAGAAGAACATTTTATGCTTCTGGATAGAAAGAATCAATATGACTAAAATGACCACACTCCACAAACCAATTTACAGATTCAATGCTATTCTTATCAAACTACCAATGACATGTTTCATAGAACTAGAAAAAAAATCTATGCTAAAATTCATATGGTACCATATAAGCACCCAAATATCCAAGACAATCATAAGCAAAAAGAAAAAAAGCTGGAGGAACCACATTGCCCAACTTCAAACTGTGCTGCAAGGCTACGGTATCCAAAACAGCATGGTACTGGTACAAAAACAGACACATAGAGCAATGGAACAGGGTAGAGAGTCCAGAAATAGAGCCTCAGACCTACAACCATCTGATCTTTGACAAACCTGACAAAAACAAGCAATGGGAAAAAGACTGCCTGTTCAATAAATGCAGTGGGATAACTGTCTAGCTATATGCAGAAGATTCAAACTGGAGCCTTTCCTTTCACCATACCCCAAAAACAACTCAAGATGGATTAAAGACCTAAATGTAAAACCCAAAGCTATAAAAATCCTGAAAAGTAACCTAGGATATACCATTTTTGACATAGAAACTTGCAAAGATTTTGTGACAAAGATGCCAAAAGCAATTGCAACAGAAGCAAAACTTGACAAATGGGACCTCATTAGAGAGCTTCTGCACAGCAAAAGAAACTATCAACAGAGTAAAATAGCAACCAAAATAATGGGAGAAAATACTTACAAACTATATATCCTACAAGGGTCTAATATCCAGCATCTACAAGGCACTTAAACATACAAGAAAAAAAAACATTAAAAAGTGGGCCGAGGACATGAACAGACATTTTTCAGAAGAAGACAGACATGCGGACAATAAGCACATTAAAAAAACCACTCAATATCGCTGATTATTGGAGGAAATGCAAATCGAAACCACAGTGAGGCACCATCTCACTCCATTCAGAATGGCTATTATAAAAATTCAAAAAATAACAGATGCTGGCAAGGCTGCAGAGAAAAGGGAACACTTAAATACTGTTGGTAGGAGTGTAAATAAATTCAACCATTGTGGAAAGCAGTGTGGAAATTCCTCAAAGAACTAAAAACAGAACTACCATTCAACCCAGCAATCCCAGTACTGGATATATACCCAAAGGAATATAAATTGTTCTTCCATAAAAACACATGCACACATGTGTTCATTGCAGCACTATTCACAATAGCAAAGACATGGGATCAACCTAAATAAGGGTAGACTGGATAAAGAAAATGTGGTATATATACACCATGGAATACTATGCAACCATAAAAAATAATGAGATAATGTCCTTTGTAGGAACATGAATGGAACTGGTGGCCTTTATTCTTAGCAAACTAATGCAGAGACGGAAAGCCAAATATACATGTTCTCACTTATAAGTGGGAGATAAATAATAAGAACACAAGGACAGAAAGAGAGGAACAACAGACACTGGGGCTACTTGAGGGAGGAGAGTGGGAGGAGACAGAGGTTCAGAAAAAAAAATGAAAACAAAGAAACTGTCAAGTAATATGTTTAGTAACCCGGTGACAAAATAATGTGTACACCAAACCTCTGAGTCACAGTTTACCTATATAACAAACGTTCACATGTATACCCCTGAACCTAAAAGTTAAAATATTTTTTAAAAAAGGAAATGTAGCAGTACCAAATCTCTTAGAAAATTTGATCAATAGTCCTTTGTATCTGAATTACTTCTTCACTGTAGAAAGTGCATCTCTTTAAGCTTAAGTAACTGTGGTTTTCACCAGCTTCCAGCAATAGTTAATCCAATTTTAACTTTAAATTCAAAGTGATATTTTTTCATTTTATCTATAACTTACTGTATTCCCAGATGTCTTTTTATTGGCGTAAGACTGACATGCAAAAAGTGTTTTTATTTAATGTATACATCTTGAAGAGTGTGAAGATAAGTATCCACCCATGCAATCATCACCATAAACAATGCCATAAACATAGTTATCACATCTAAAAGTTTCCTTCCTTCCTCTTACTATTTGTTTGTTATAAGAACACTTAATACAACAGCTACCCTGTTAGATGTTTAAGTATATAATACAGTATTGTTCAGCTCTCTGTCCTAAGCTGTACATGAGATCTGCAGGACTTATTCATCCTTCATAACTGAAATTATGTATGCTTTGAACAATATATTACGTTTTTGTTCTCAAATGTAAAATAATATATGAAATGCTCGCTCTTGCTTGTTAATACTTAAACAGGAACTTATGACTTTACTAGTCCCCTTTTCATTGATTTGCCTTGTGTGAGGCATTCTGCTTGGCAATGTGCAGGACAGGTTAAAAGAAAAGAAGTAAGTGTAGTCAAATGGTAACAACTGAATATAGAAAGTGATTGTTATCACTGGTAAGACAGAAATTCTACCTCAGTAAAGAAATAATTAAACATGGAAACAATTTAATCAACATCTAATATTAAATGAGATACAGAACAATTCACTTAATCCCAAAATGCTACTATGCATAATTGGACACTTTTGGATTTATGAGCAATTAGGGGCCCTGGAATCACCTAAATTTATCATAGTAAACATCAATTATTATTAAGCCACATGAATATAAGACTGAGCTTTGGAATTACTAAAATGCAGCTATGATTTTGCTTTATTTGTCAACTATGTGAGTGGTTGCAGGCAAATCCTTATAAAGATCAATTTCATAAAACTGTAAAATGTTCAATGTGTAATTTATAGTAGTTTTGAGAATTAAAGGAAATAATGTCTGTAAGTCACTTATCATACAGCCTGGGCCAGGGTAACCACTCAGAAAACTGTGATTTATTGTTATTACTATTTTTGTTAATGACAATTAAGCATAATGAGCTTTCAAGTCACAGAACTCTGGAGAAGAGGAAGATCGCTGCATGGATCAAGGTATAAGAATGTCAATATTTTTATTAATGTGGATTAAATAATTACATTGAAGATGCATTTTAATGGGCAACACAAATAACTTTTATATGTTCCATTAAATACATTATTCAACTTCTGAAACAGTGATTGCTGTCAATATCACTTTCTATTTTGAAATATTGGCATGCCAACTTTAAATGTGCCTATTTTGTATATTCCCAGAACTACCTCATAACATTCTATGGATATTTACATCTCTTATATTGGGAAAAATAAACTAATTTACATTCTTATATGTTATATTCCGCCGTTCTATCTGTTATATTTTATATTCTGCCTATATATGCTTTTTATATTAAAAAAACTAGTTTTTTTTTTTTTTTTTTTTAGAGGGTGTTTCTTTTTTTTTTTTTTTTTAATGTTTTTTTTTTTGTTATCATACTCTAAGTTTTAGGGTACATGTGCACATTGTGCAGGTTAGTTACATATGTATACATGTGCCATGCTGGTGCGCTGCACCCACTAACGTGTCATCTAGCATTAGGTATATCTCCCAATGCTATCCCTCCCCCCTCCCCCGACCCCACCACAGTCCCCAGAGTGTGATATTCCCCTTCCTGTGTCCATGTGATCTCATTGTTCAATTCCCACCTATGAGGGCTAATATCCAGAATCTACAATGAACTCAAACAAATTTACAAGAAAAAAACAAACAACCCCATCAAAAAGTGGGCGAAGGACATGAACAGACACTTCTCAAAAGAAGACATTTATGCAGCCAAAAAACACATGAAGAAATGCTCATCATCACTGGCCATCAGAGAAATGCAAATCAAAACCACTATGAGATATCATCTCACACCAGTTAGAATGGCAATCATTAAAAAGTCAGGAAACAACAGGTGCTGGAGAGGATGTGGAGAAATAGGAACACTTTTACACTGTTGGTGGGACTGTAAACTAGTTCAACCATTGTGGAAGTCAGTGTGGCGATTCCTCAGGGATCTAGAACTAGAAATACCATTTGACCCAGCCATCCCATTACTGGGTATATACCCAAAGGACTATAAATCATGCTGCTATAAAGACACATGCACACGTATGTTTATTGCGGCACTATTCACAATAGCAAAGACTTGGAACCAACCCAAATGTCCAACAATGATAGACTGGATTAAGAAAATGTGGCACATATACACCATGGAATACTATGCAGCCATAAAAAATGATGAGTTCATGTCCTTTGTAGGGACATGGATGAAATTGGAAACCATCATTCTCAGTAAACTATCGCAAGAACAAAAAAACTACTTTTACAAAACTGATACAGTTAGTGGTCAAGTAAAATCAAATATAGCTCTGTGACACTGTCTTCCTCACAACTTTCTTTTCTCCTGAAAAATTTCATTGAGCATATAAAAGTATTTTTAAACACTCAGATTTTTAGTTTTTCATATTTCTGCAAAGGAGAACATTTCTGCTGGTGATAAATAGATCTTAGGTGGAATCTCTCTATGAGATCTGCTGCAGGTTAAGCATCTCTGGATTTCCTCCACAAAAGTGATGAGAGAAACAACAAAGAGAATCAGGGATAGAAGAGAGTGGCTACTGATCACTGCCCTTAACCTTCTTTTTCCCCTAGAACATAAACAAACACTCATATTATTCTTCAATTAGTTGCAATGACACTAAGAGGTAATCCACTTCTTCTATAAATAGTAATAAATAGTATCTTCCGGCAAAATGCTTTATTCCAAAGAATATTTGTATTTAATTATCCCTCCAGATCTGTTAATATAACAAGTTCCTTTCTGTCTTGCTCTTTGCTTTTTTTTTTTTTTTTCAGATTTGATTCTTTTCCTTTAACCTCTTTTAAAGATGATTGAAGTTGTTCTAGAAGCCACATAGGCCTTTAGGCCAATCAAATCAAACTTGCCATAGAGTTTGGCTAACTGCTATACCACACCATATGTATGCCCCCAAGAGGCTGCCTAGTATTATAGCTCAGATAAATGCCTTGTTAATAAAACAGTCTGAGTGAAAATTTTGCAGTCATATCATTTTAAGGTTAATAATAAAAAGATTATTTTTCCTTCAATTCATCATGACTTCTAGTCACATAAAAATTTCTGGAAAAAAGGAAAACCCACTGTTATTGGATTTTTGATAAAATGATCCAAGTATTGAGTGCTATATTTGGAAAGGTCAATAACGGTAGTCTTCTAGAAAGAACAAATCATTAACGTAGCAAAGCATGCTTTCCTTCCTTTTGTCATTTTCCTGTAACCACTCGAAAGAGTCCTTTCATTTTCAGCTATTGAGTGAGAAATTTCTTAAAGAAATGGCATATCTTTTGTCCTCTCAGTCGAAAATAGGACATTTTTTCTCAATAAGAATGTTTTCAGAAGCATGTTTATTAAATTCCGAAAACATAGCAGGTGAAATATACATTCTGTAATTTAAGAAAACTCAGGAATGTGTAGCTAAATACTTTGAGTCTAAATTATGAAACACATTTAAGATAGCAATATATTATTTTTCTTACAAATTCAAAAATGTTTACTGAGTACATATTACTGACTGATAAGATAGCAATATATTATTTTTCTTACAAATTCAAAAATGTTTACTGAGTACATATTACTGACTGATACGTTAAAATCAAGTTGTTATGTAAATGAAATAGACACAGCTGAATCTTCAAGGGGCTGACAGGCTGAAAAGGTGAGACAAATATGAAAATAAAGAATTCAAAGTGTTGTAGGTGCTATGATGAAAGTACCTCGAAAGTACTATATCTAATGCAACTGTTTGAATGCTTGCTTCTTCCTAGATAAATAGAATGATTGTTTTATGAAAAGCTTCATGGAAAAAAATGAGCTGAGCTAGGTCAAAAACTTTTAGAGCTAAAATAGACAATAAACATATAGATAGAAGGAAAAAGAAAGAAGGTGTGAAAAGCAGGCCTTTCTGAGGAACTGAAAGCAGTTCAGTGTGGCTAAAAAATCAAAAGCCGTGGCTTGAGTGCGGAGAAAACAGGCTACGGAAGCCCATCACGACGATATCATGGGGGCCTTTGAAGGAGCTAGCAAAGATTTAACTTTACCATATGAGCAAGTCGCAGTATAAAATGACTTGAACAAAATGTGTATTTCAGAAATATCTGTGCAGCAAAAATTTGGGAGGACAATGGCAAAGGTAGAAGAGAGGAGGTCATGAGTCCAGTGGCAAGACTTTCTGTAATCCACACAAAAATAAAATGAAACAACGGTGGAAGAGCAAATAGATGGGGAAAAAAGCAAAAAGAAATTAGACTCTTCCAGAATTATTGGATGTTGGATTACTAGATGCTTTTAATGTAGCCATTAAATAAAAAGAATAAAATCATGTTTTTTGCAGCAATGCGAATGCAGCTAGAGGCCATTATCCTAAGTGAATTAACACAGAAATAGAAAACTAAACACTGCATGTTCCTCATTTATTAGCAGAAGCTAAACATTGTGTACTCACAGACATACGATGGCAACAATAGACACTGCGGACTACTAGAGGGGGAAGGGAGGGAGGGGGCATAGGATTGAAAAACTAACTGTTGGTCACTATGCTTAGTACCTGGGTGACCAGATTATTCATATTCCAAACCTTAGCATCTGCACTATATACCCATGTATCTAACCTGCACTTGTATTCTTTGAGTTTAAAATAAATGTTGAAATTACAAAAATTAAACCAATAAATAAATATCTTACTGTAATAAGAAGTAAAATTAAAAATTAAAAAAAAAAACAAACTGAGACTTCCAGTTTCAGCTCTGGCATGTAAAGAGCCTAGGAGTCATCATCCTAATCTTTCAAGAGCAAAAGACTGATAAACTAAAAATCCACAACTTTTCTTAGGCTCAACAGAGAACTGAGGTTACAGGGCAAGTGCTACCTCAAAATCTGGAGACAGTGACACATTGATAGATACAGATCTGAGATTTGCCTACTGAAAGCAGAAACAGCTGGAATCCATAAACTGGTAGGGAGAATTGAATGGACATCTTGGCAAATTGCTGAAGGGTGACAGTGGACTAGCATGTTGGTGGGAAACTCTGAAACGCCACATTCATAGTGATTTTATTATGGGAATCCTATCGGAGTGTCATGGTGAGATCTGAGAAAGATCCTTTCATGACCCTAGCTGGGGCAGGGAGAGGGCAGCCATCTTGAAACCCACTCAGACTCTTCTCACTAAAAAAGATCTAGTTTCCAGAGGAAAGAAATTAAACAGAAGGGAATTCAGAATGTTTTCCCAGATGGGGCAAGGTAATTCCTCGGCACCGCACCCCCCTCCACCCCACCACCCCAGCTCTTATCTCACTTATCTCTTTATGGGAAAAACAAAGACACAAGTGAAATCCGCAGTGGAGTGGGCTTCAGAGAAACAGCCTGGGAATACTGCAGCCAGAGAAGAAAGTAGAGGCAGGGGGAATAAACTAAACTCCAGGATGAGAGTCTGAGAGACTTGTGAAGGCCACGCCCTAGAGACACAGTACCACTAAGGACTGACTTAAGCAAATTATAGGACAGCCCCTTTCCCACATGCTACCAGGACACCAACAAACCTCTGATATTATACTACTGAGGGAAATTTAAAAAGATCTAAAACGTACAGACCGTCTTTCAGTCTGGAGTAATAAAAATAAAAGGAGAGACTAAAGCAAGAATACTAGAAGAATTTGAAGTCTCTGGTTCCCATATGTACAACATTAAACACAGCCAAATTCCAAGCCAGATTAATATAAATGATCACATTAAAGATCTATTTACCTGGTTACCTATTACTTGATGAAATACATCCAGCTTTCAAAAATAAAAATAAAAAAGGAAGAAGAAACAAAACACACATCAGAGAAAACACACACATGACACAGATTTTGGAATTAACAGGCAGGGAATTTGAAATAAATACAATTAAAGTGTTCAGAGATCTAATGGCAAACACAGACAGCATAGAAAAGATAAGTAATGTAAACAAGTAGAAGTGCTAAAAAAAGATTTGAAAGGAAATGTTAACAATTAAAACATAATAACAAAGTTGAAGAATGACTTTGACAGGCTCAGCAATAGACTAAAAGTCCAAGGAAAGAATCAGTGAACAGCAAGATAGTTCAACAGAAATTTCCTGAATTAAAATCCAAATAGAGGGGGTAAAAAACCCGTAGTGTCCAATAACTGAGATGATTTCAAAAGATATCACACACAGACAATAGAATTCTGTGTCAGAATGAGAAGAAAAGGAAAATGGAGTCGGAATAAAAATCAGTGGAATTAAAAAAAAAATTTGTAGTGATGACAACCAAGAACTTTTCAAATGAAGAACAGATTCCAAAGCACAGATCCCAGAAGTTCAGAGAACTAAATAAGGATAAAGTAATATCATATTCAGTAGTGAAAAACTAAAATCTTTTCCTCTAAGATCAGAAACAAGACAAGGATGTCAACTCATGTCACTTCTATTCTACATAGTACTGGAAGTCCTAGCCAGAACAATTAGGCAAGTAAAAGAAATAAAAGGCATTCGAACTGGAAATGAAAAAATAAAACTGTCTTGTTTAGAGATGACATGATCTTATCCTAAAGACTCTACACACAAAAATTATTATTACTAATAGACAATTTAATAAAGTTGCACATACAAAATCCAGATATAAAAATCAGTTGCATTTTTTAATACTAATAATGAAAAAGCTGAGAAAGACATTAAGAAAATAATCACATTTATAGTGGCATCAAAAGAAAATAAAAAGCCTAGTAATAAATTGAATGAAGGTCTTGAAGGACCTGTAGGCTAAACAGTATAAAATACTGATGAAAAATATTAAAGAGACACAAACAAATGGAAAAATACTCCATGTTCATGTTTTGGAAGACTTAATATTGTTAACTGTTCATACAACCCAGAACAATCTGCAGATTCAATACAGTTCCTACCAAAATACCAATGTTATTTTTACAGAAATAAAAAAATAAAATTTTAAAATTCATATGATGAAAAAAAGGACCCTGAATAGACAAAACAATATTGAGAAAGAAAAATATGCCTGGAGGTATCACACTTTGTTATTTAAAAATATATTACAAAGCTACAGTAATTAAAACAGGATACAGACAGATATATAGACCAATGGGATACAATAAAGAGCCTAGAAATAAATGCGCACATATAGGGTCAACTCATGTTCAGCAAGAGTGCCAAAAATACACAATGGGGGCAGGATAGTTTCTTCAACAAATGGTATCGGAAAAAACTGAATATTCACCTTCGAAAGAATCAGGTACTCTTACCTTCTGCTACACACAATAAACAATACAAAATAGACTAAAGACTTAAATACAAGGCCTGAAACTATGAAATTCCTAGAAAAAATGGGGGAAAATCTTCATGACATTGGTCTTGATAATAATTTTATAGAAATAATATAGCTTTCATAGACAAGCTAAGGCAACATAAGCCAAGACAGACAAATGGCAGTACATCAGTCTAAAAATCTGCACAGGTCTGCAAACCACATATTTAGGAAGGGGTTAATTTCCAAATGTATAAGAAACTCCTATAACTCAATATCTACAAAAAACAACCCAGTTAAAAATGGACTAAGTAGTTTAATAGACATTTCTTCAAAGAAAACCTACAAATGGCAAACAGGTACAAGAAAAGATGCTCATGTTCACTAACCCTCAGGGAAATGCAAAGCAAAACCGCAATGAAATATCACCTCACATCTCTTAGGATGGCTATTATTAATGACAACACAAAAAGAAAAAGAAAAGACAAATATTGGTGATGATGTAGAGAAATTGGGGCCCTTGTACACTGCTGTGGAGAATGCAAAATTCAGCAGTTGCAAACAACCATCTGGAGATTTTGTTTAACATTAAAGATAGAAATACCATATGATCTGGCAATCCCACTTTTGGATATTTATACAAAAATCAGGATCTTGAAGAGACATTAGCATCCCCATGTCCACTGAAGCACGCACTAGTCACAATAGCCAATAAATTGGAAAAAATCTAAATGTTCATCAGCAGATGAATGGCTGAAGAAAATGTGCTATATGTCTACAATGCAATATTATTCAGCCTTAGAAAAGAAGGAAATCTTGCAACATGCAACAACATGGATGAAGCTGGAGGATATCATGCTAAGTGAAATAAGTCAGTCACAGTAAGACAGATACTGTATGACCCCACTTATGTAAGCTATTTAAAACAATCAAACCCACAGAAGCAGAGAATGGAATGGGGGTTCCCAGGGCCTTGAAGGGGAATGAGGAATTGTTAATCTAAAGGTATAAGATTTCAATTATACAAGGTGAATAAATTCTAGAGTGGTGTACAACATTGCACCTGTAGTTAACAAACTGTATTATACACTTAAAAATCCATTAGATGGGTAAATCTCAATTATGTAATTTGAGTGATGGATACCTCAAAAGCCCTGATTTCACTGCTATGTGATCTATGCATATAACAAAATTACACTTGTACTCCATGAATGTATACAAATAAAAAAACACACCAATATTAGCAAGTAAATAAAAATTTTACCATGTGAATACTGAAGGTAAACATGAGCGAATTCCATTATAATCTGGTAGTGGATACTTTTTATGACAATGAAATAAAAATCTAGGACAATAGGGTAAACATTTATAGATAAATCTTAAGAATTAAGAGTTTGCATAGTGGTAAGTGAAATAAAGGGCAAATGATAAACTGGGGAAAGTGATTTTGAAACTTGTCATAGAAAAGGGCTAACGTATCTAACAGAGAGAAATTCTGATAGTTATTAAGCTATCATCTCTTTACTCCAAATCTATTTATAGTGTTCTTTAGGCTAGTGCTAAGATTCTACAAATGTTTTTCCTGACTTTTCCAGGTGTCTTTCTAGCAGGTCGGGTCAACAGAGCAAGAGATAGAGATAGAAGAGAGGAACAAGAAAGAAGGAACTCGCTCTTTCATATTTACCATGTTTCTGCAAATGTTGCCCCAGCAGGGGCGATTAGTTCCGGATAGGATCAGAGCACTCCCAGAAACACTTTCACCCTCAGAAGTACCAAAAGAAGACTGACTGCGCCTATCAACAGACTCATAGGTCTGAATTGTCGGCGGAGGTCTGAATTGCTGCTCTACATTGCCTTTCTTCAAAACCTCTGGCTTCTCATAATTCCAAACTGTTGCTTTTGTTTTCCCAGCCCTAGTGGTAGCAATTAGTTGTTGTAGTTACCATCTGTAGTACCTTAGTATAACTATTTGCTGCATTACATCAATATCTGTTTAGGTATTTCTTTATACTTAATTCCCTTTGTGGCAGTATCTACTGTCATTTATATTTTTCCGAGTGCCCTGACTAATAGATTTTCTAAAAATTGAGAACAAAAGCACCAGTCCCCCAAAAATATATAGAAAAAAGATCTGCAACAAGTCACAGGAGAAGAAATACAAATGATGCTCAAACATGGGAAAATACACTTAGCCACATTCATAGTAAGGCATATGCAAGTTAAAACTGCCATTCCTTACTTTGGAGTATTAAAAATCTGACATTTTGAAAATATATACTGTCGGTGAGGCTATGGATAAATAGCATCCTTATATATCTCTGGTAAGCATGCAACATGTAAGAACTCCTCCGAAGGAGTTTAGTCATTTCTAGCAGAATTATCTATCAATTTTTTCCTTTTGACAAAAAAGATCCATTTCTAGCTATCTATTGCAAAATTACTGGCATAATATGAAATGAAGAAGACACAAAGATATTCTCTGCAATACAGCTGGTAATAGCAAAAGTCTTGAAACATGTCACATGCCCATAGGAAAACAATGGAATAGACTGTGATACTTCTGAGTAATACAGTAGTCCCCACTTATCTACGGTTTATCTTTCTGTGATTTTAGTTACCTGCAGTCTGAAAATATTAAATGGAAAATTCCAGAAATAAACAATTCATAGGTTTTCAATGTTGTGCCTCTTTGAGTAGCATGATGAAATCTGGGGCATCCTGCTTTGTCTCACCCAGGACCTACATTATTCCTTTATCCAGCATTTCAAAGCTGTGGATGCTACCACCCATTAATCACTTAATAGCAATCTAGGTTATCAGATCGGCTGTTTCAGTATTCCAGGGCTTATGCTGGAGTCACCCTTATTTTCCTTAATAGCAGCCCCAAAGCAAAAGAGTAGTGATACAGGCATATTGTTATAATTGTTCTATTTTATTACATTTGACCCTTGAGCAATACAGGGGTTAGGGTCGCCAACCTCCTGCACAGTCAAAAATCCACGTGTTTTGATTTTCCAAAACCTTAACTACTAATAGCCTACTCTTGACTGGAACCCTTACCAAAATAAACAGTTGATTAACACATATTTTGTATGTTATATGTATTTTATACTGTGTTCTTACATAAATAAGCTAGAGAAAAGAAAATGTTATTAAAAATCGTAAGGAAGAGAAATACATTTCTAATAGTGCACTGTATTTATTGATATTGTAAGTTTACTTCATCTGTTTACAAAATGGATCATCTGCCTGAAATGACAACTAACCACAGCCTCAGATCTTAATCTATGGTACATATCAGGCAATTCAACTTTTTCTCATAATGTCATGACTTTTCTGTTTCTTGGGAGCACTTCCAGCAAAAACTAGTGGCACTTCACACGGATCCCATGGTGTTATTCGAGGATTATGGTATTGCACTAAGCACTATTGCACTAAGCACTGTGAAAGAAATGCAAGAACTGTGAGAGATCAGTTTTTACTTAATACACAATTTACTGGAGAGATGAACTGCTCATGCACAGATGATTTTTTAAAATTTATTTTACTTTAAGTTCTGGAATACATGTGCAGAACATGCAGGTCTATTACATAGGTATACATGTGCTATAGTGGTTTGCTGCACCCATCAACCTGACATCAAGGTTTCAAGCCCCGCATGAATCAGGTATTTGTCTTAATACTCTCCCCCAACTTACCCACATCCCCCGACAGGCCCCAGTGTGTGATATTCCCCTCCCTCTGTCCTTGTATTCTCATTGTTCACCTCCCACGTATGAGTGAGAACATGTGGTGTTTGGCTTTCTGTTCCTGTGTTAGTTTGCTGAGAATGATGGTTTCCAGCTTCATCCATGTCCCTGCAAGGGACATGAACTCATTCTTTTTTATGGCTGCATAGTATTCCATCTTGTACATGTGCCACATTTTCTTTATCCAGTCTATCATTGATGGATATTTGTGTTGGTTCCAAGTCTTTGTTATTGAAAATAGTGCTGCATACACAGATGATTAATAGCACATACAGATATTTGCAACACTTGAGCAAAATTATTACAGGAGTACAGTATGTAGCACAGTTACTATTTTTGCAGTTATAATACTGTTTCTTTACTTTGGTTTACATTTCTCCCTACTGTCAATGGTGTCATGTGTAGTCAGTATTTGTGTGCCTATGTTTTGATACATTTTAACTTTTTAAAATAGATTTGCGTATATTTTATGGTAATAAGTGATTAAACAATTATATACATATATTTTATGCATTCATGATGCACCTAAAATTTCTTTTTTTTTAATGTTTCTAGGCTGCATGCTTTATGTGTAAGTTTTTTCAAGTTAGCACAAATCTCCAAAATGTTTTAAATATATTTGTTGAAAAAAATCTATGTGTAAGTAGACCCCCGCAGTTCAAACCCATGTTGTTATTCATGGGTCGACTAGATTAGTTATTGTTGTTAATCTCTTATTGTGCCTAATTTATGAATAAATTACTATATATTATTATTTGTAAAGAAATTATAATTACTAAATTACTATATAAATAAATTACTATATATACTATGTAAACTTATTATAAAGAAAAAATTTACTTTTAAGCTATGAAATAGATCAGTTATTCCCACCGAGTAACAAAGTTAGTACAACGATTGGCAAAATTTTTTTCTGATTGACCAGTTTGATTGAATTAACTGACTTCTATGTGTGCTGACATGTTGTTTTGTAGTGTGCAAATAAAACTTTCAATATTTATTATATAATCTTTTTTTTTTTTTTTGAGACAGAGTCTCACTCTGTTGCCCAGGCTGGAGAGCAGTGGTGTGATCTGGGCTCACTGTAAAATCCACCTCCTGGGTTCATGCAATTCTGCCTCAGCCTCCCAAGTAGCTGGGACTACAGACACAGGCCACCATGCACGGCTAATTTTCGTATTTTTATTTTTTTTGTAAAGACAGGGTTTTGCCATGTTGGTCAGGCTGGTCTCAAACTCCTGACCTTAAGTGATCTGCCCGCCTTGGCCTCCCAAAGTGCTGAGATTACAGGTGTGAGCCACGGCACCCGGCCTATTTATCACATAGTCTTTATTGTTCTTTACTGTTCTTGGAAAATAAAGAATTTTAACATCGAAAAACCTATTAAACTTATAATACAGATTATTTGCAACATCATAGTGTATGTGAAAATTTAACTATATTGGATGTATTAACACAATATCTGCTTTATGTAGGTTAATTACAATCAAGCAAAATACCAATGTTTACCAGGCTTTCCCCAAACCAATTAAGAAAGCTCCTACTTTAAAGCCTTTTATATGTATTGTATTTTGCAGCTAGAAAAACCTTTCTTCAGATATTGGTAAGTCTGATATCCTTCATGTTGCATAAGCCTTACATCTTGTCAAACATCACTTTATCTAAGGGGCCATCATAATATCAAATATGTAGCCCATGTCACTCCTTATCTTTCAAGAGCACTTCTCACAGACTTATATTGTAGTAGACTTTGTATCTATTCATATTTCTATTATCTTTTCACACATGCAAAAAAAAATGTTTCACGAAGGCAAAGGCTTTGTTTTTTTCATTTGCTAACATATTGAGCACATAGAACAGCTCTTGGTGCACGGTAAATGCCACCAAAGTATTTGGTGAATGAATGAATGAATGAATGAATGAATGTTTTCTACCCTGTCATCTCAGAACCCTCCAACCAGCGAGTTAGTACCCAAAACTGCTGAGCAAGTTATGCCAATCCAGTTCACTTAAAACAGCTGAAAGTAAACCAAGAAGGAAATGTCCAACTGGGTACCAACTAGAAAATAATTCAAACAAAATTAAAAAAAAATAAATTAGCAAAAACACCTTTTGTTCATATTAAATATTGTGTAAAGTTCTAATATATAAACAACCAAAATGGAGCTGTCCTGGTTGTAATAAGGTAGTGAAGCCAGGAACCTCCATGACTGTCTCTCCTTCAATATCTATGTTAGTCGGGGTACATTGCGAGTAACTGGAGAAATAAAATCCAAAAATGATAGTTTGAATATGTGCCTCAAATGTCATGTGTTGGAAACTTAATCCCCAATGCAACAATGCTGAGAGGTAGGATTTTTAGGAGGTGATTATGTCATGAAGGCTCTGACGCCATGAATGGATTAATGCTGTGACCGTGGGAGCGGGTTATTTATCCCTGGAGCAAGTTCCTTAAAAAGGAGGAGTTTGGCTCCCTCTTACAGTCTTTCATGCCTGCCCTTGCCCTCCCAACTTCTGACATGGGATGATGCAGCAACTAAAGCCCTTGCCAGATGCCCGCACTTTGATATTGGAATTCTCAGCCTCCGGAACCATGAACAACACCTTTCTCTTTATTATAAATTTCCCAGTCTCTGATATCTTCTTACAGTAGCACAAAACAAAGGCACCATGCTTCATCATTCTACTGAGTAAGCAAAATTCTGGCTAGAGTTGTTAAATTCCTAATTCAATAACAATCTCTCTCTCTCTCGGTCTTACACACACACACACACACACACACACATACACATACACACACGCAGACACACATGATTTTCTTAACATTCAAGATCTATTCAACTGTTAGAAAACACTCTTCAAACATTTTTCTGTTAAATATAATTTGTAACTATACTTGGTTGACTGTATATTGGTTTTCAAAAATAGTGTATGGAATAAACAAAAATTAAACAGTTTTCTCCTATACTCATTAACCCTCCAAACACTTAGAGATGGCTACTCTTCCTGTCCCCAGAACAGAGCATGCAACCCTTTCAAATATTAATTATTTGTTGTGCTGACCCATTTCAATTAAACTATATATATATATTTAAAACAATTATAGAATTGTATGTTACATGTTTGATATAATCTATTCAGGACAGAGGAACACTATAATTTTCAGAAATTATTAAGATACTATAATTTTCTAAATAAATCCTCAAACTTCCAAAGTTTCAGAAAAATAAAAAATGTTCAGCATACTCTAATTTGCAACAAAATGAAAATAATGCTTGTGATCAGTGATTTAAAAAACTATAATGAATATTTTATTTGGTTTTTATGTCAATTAATATTTTTACAAATGTTAAACTTCTCAAAAATAATGACATTAAAAATAATATATTGTGAGTAATTTTGCTATATCTGTGAAATATGTCAAAGAGCTTTGTACATTCACCTTTGACTTGAAGATCATATTTCTGAAATTGTGCTGATTAGGCACAGGAATTTATATTCCAGGGAACACAATCCATCAATAGTCTAAGTCACATAAAATAGAGAAAACCATTCTCCTTAATGACATAATCATCAAACATAATTTATTAAAGGCTTTTCTGTGTTAAATGCTGATGAAGTCAGTATACAGGTGTGATCTTTCCAATGCAGGAGATCATAAATTGAGATTCAAATCATTGATCCCAAAATAAGATAATGTAGTGTATTGTGACATGATCTAATAAACACTGTTGAGACTTCAAAGTTATTCCATTATTAGATACAGTTGAAATTAAAATAACAATTAGAAATAATTATTGCCAAATACATCTCGAAAATTAGGTGAAATGTGCGAATTTATAGGGAAAAAACAAAACAGACTCATTAAGAATGATATTTAAAAATTAGGTGTGCTAAAATAGAATAAACTATTTTATTTTATTTTATTTTATTTTATTTTATTTTGAGTAAAATGAAAGTATTCATGCTGGTTTTCAGGTTGTATTTTTCCATTCCTAGAGTTTATTTCTAAACCTCTCTACAAAATTCTTTCTCTCTCTGTATCTCTCTTTGTATTTGCAACTCTCATATAAAATTTATTTTTTCTAAATTACCACATAATAAACTGAAACCATGAAGCCTATATATGCTAAATGCTTCATTGGGTATTTACTAAGAATAAGTCATTCCCTTCTGCAAAGAAATTACAATTATCAAAATCTACAGATGAATATTGGTAATGTATTATTACCGAATCTATGGAGTTTACTCTGATTTGTCCAGTTTTCCCAGGAATGTTCCTTAGAGTAAAAGAAAATACAAGTTCATACATTGCATACACTTGTAATCTCTCTTTATTCCCTTCAATCAAAAATGGTTCCAGTCTTTGTGTTTCATGACATTGAAATTATTGAACAGCACTGGTTATTTTATAAAATGACCTTCCACGTGAATTTTTCTGATCTTTTCTCATGATTAAATTCACTTTATCCACTTTTTGCAAGCATGCCAGAGAAGATGCTAAGTATTTCTCAGTGCATCAGATCAGAAGGCACATGTTTTCTATTGTCCACTTACCTGTAGTGTTAATTTTGATCACTTATTTAAGGTTATTAGCTGTATGCCAGCCTTCTCCACTGTGAAATTACTGTGTATATTTGGATTTTATTTGTAAGGAATATTTTCCCTTCTTTGTTTATTCATTGATTTGTGTCATTATTGACTCTAATATCTATTTCATTTTTTGTGGTATAATCCAATACAATTTTTATTTTGTTACTCAAATTCTTTAGTTTTAGCCATGAGAATCCCTTTTCTATTGGATCCTGTGTCTTCTGAAATTCGGCATTCATTTGTTTTTGAGCACTTCTGTATTTCCTAGCACTATAAAATTCTGCAGCCTCATCTCATTTTTCCTTGTCCCAGCTCTAGAATCAGTCCTTTGGCCAGGCATTCCAGTTTGTTTCCTCTATGAATGGTGTTTAGAAACCAATATCTAGCAAAAAATAAGGCCAGTACTCAAATGCCCAAAATACAGCAATATACACCTGCATCATTTTTCTGTATCACACTGCCCATTTTATAACTCACTTCTAACACCCAACACCCTTCCCACCATACAAGCACCAACCAGATCTCTTCTTATAGCTGACTGATTTCTGGTCCATTCTTAAAGACATGATCATTAGCTTCAATAATAGCAAATACTGTACTACCAACAAAATAACATGTTGTTTTATTGCTTTTAAATATTAAAATAGAAGATAGTGTATCTTCCTGTAAAAAATAAATATTATAATATAAATATTATAGAAAAAAAAGAAATCAACATCTAGACTCTGCATATGCTTGAGGCCACTTAGATGGCTCACCTTTTAGGCACTCTAGCAGACAGAGAGAGAAAATATATGCACTGGCCCATTCAGACACACACTTCTATATTTTGTAAAGTAGTTTGACCACAGCTAACCTATATCCTTGTGAGAAACAAATTTGCCAAGCAGAGCATAATGTTAAAATGCAGTTCAGTTCTCTTTGTTTTTAGCATTACTATATCTAGTCACAACACTATTTTTCAGATTTACGTATTTCAGTTCTTGTTCCCTCCACCCCTTCAATGAGGTTATGTCATACCCTTGTAATACAGTTAGACTCATTAGACACAGCTGTATTGCATCCAGGGATTCCCTGACGTCCTGCTTTGGTTGTTGGTACTGTTTGCATACAGTAAAATCAGGCCTTGGAAGTTTTGAGTGTTATTGGGTTGAAAAATGCATAATTGTGCATCCATAATCTTCATCTCTTTTCATATGTTACCAAATATCTTACCATTCTATAAGATATGCTGTCATTTCTGATATGATTTGGCTATGTCCCCACCCAAATCTCATCTTGAATTGTATTTCCCATAATCCCCACATGTTGTAGGAGGGACCCAGTGGGAAGTGGTTGAATCATGGGGATGGTTTCCCCTATGCTATTCTCAGGATAGTGAGTAAATTCTCACAAGATCCGATGGTTTGGCTGAGGGTGGTTGCTCATGCTTGTAATCCCAGCATTTTGGGAGGCCAAGGCAGGTGGATCATTTGAGGCCAGGAGTTCAGGACCAGCCTGGCCAACATGGTGAAACCCCATCTCTACTAAAAATACAAAAATTAGCTGGGCATGGTGGTGCATGCCTGTAATTTCAGCTACCTGGGAGGGTGCGGCAGGAGAGTCACTTGAACCTGGGAGGTAGAGGTTGCAGTGAGCCAAGATCATGCTGCTACACTCCAGCCTGGGTGACAGAGTGACATTCTGTCAAAAAAAAAAAGAAAAAATCTAATGGTTTTCTAAGGGGCTTCCCTTTTGCTTGGCTCTATGCTTCTCCTTCCTGCCAGCCTGTAAAGAAGGATGTGTTTTCTTCCCCTTCCGCCATGATTGTAAGTTTCCTGAGGCTTCCCTTGCCATACTGAACTATGAGTCAATTAAATCTCTTTCCTTTGTAAATTACCCATTCTCAGATACTTCCTTATAGCAGCGTGAGAACAGACTAATACAATATCTTATCAATGGTTCTTTTGTGTGGCAGCTTTATACTAAATCTCTCCCATATCTCTCAAACTCTAGCAAATACTCATGTCTTTTCCATCACTACATTTTGTCTTTTTCAGAATGTCATATAAAGGGGGTTGTGTAATATAGCTCTTTTCAGTCTCATTTCTTTAACTTATCAAATATGCATTTAAGATTCATATGTGTTGCTGTGTGAGGCAAGAGCTTTCTCTTTTTAAAAATTTATGAGTAGTGTTCCATTGCATGGATATTCCACAGTTTATTTGTGTCCACTCACTCACTGAAGGACTTCTGGGTTGTTTTTTATCTTGATGATGAATAAAGCTGCTATAAACATTCAAATATTGATCCTTGTATAAACATAAATTTTTAGTTCTCATGGATAAAACTCAAGCATTCATTTGCTAGGTTGATTGAAAATTTTGTGGTTAGCGTTATAAAAACTGCCAAAGTGTCCGCTGGAGTGGCTATATCATTTGGCATTTTCACCATCAGAGAAAGAATTTCCACTATGCCTTGTCCTCAGGAGCATTTGGTATTTTAACGCACCTCCAACCAGAGTCTCATAAGTGTGTAGTGGGGTCTTATTTGAGTCTTTATATGAATTTTCTTAATGCCTAATAAAGTTGGGAATCATTTTATAAACGTATTGGAATCTGCATATCTTCTCTTATGAAGTATCTATCTTTTGCCTATTTTTATTGGGTTGCTTGTTTTTGTTTTATTGTTCAGATTTAAGAATTCTTTATGCAATCCAGATATAAGGCTTTTATCAGGTATAATTTGAAGATATTTCTCCATATCTGTTGATTGTGCACTTATTCTCTTAACAGTCTTTTGCAAGGCAGAAGATGTCATTGTTTATAAATCCTATTTATCAATTTTTGTTTCTTTCATGGATGGTATATTGATGTCATAATTAAAACCTTGTTGCTACATCCAAAGTCATGTAGATTTTCTCTTTCAGAAGTTTTATATTTTATATTTCACAATTTCATCTATGATCCATTTTCAGATTTTCATTTTTTGTGTAAAATATATACCATGGATTTTTTTTTCTAGTACTGTTGTTCAAAAGCTTGTCCATTCTGTTTAGTTATCTTTGCGTCTTTGTAAAAAATCAGTAGACTGTATTTCCTCAGATCTATTTCTAGCCTTATATTATCTATATATCTATCTTTCCACCAGTACTATGCCTTCTTGATTACTGTAGCTTTATGTTAAGTCTTGAAATGAAGATAGGAGAATCCTCCATCTTCATTTTTCCATTTTCAAATTATTTAGCTTTTCTAGTTCACTTACTTTTTCATACAAATTTTAAAATATAGTTGTCAATATCTACAAAAAGCATGATGGAGTTTTCATTTGGGTTGCACAGAATCTTGATGAAATTGGAGAGCATAATTAACAAGGATTAGCCTTTGAATACATGACTATGTATCTTCTTTTAGTAATTTTTAATGATTTCTTTCCATTTTCTATGACTTCTAATTTTCTATGTTTATAGTCTAATCATAAATGTCCTATATGTATTTTAGGTTTATGCGGCAAGGCCAGGAGAAAAATGACAATGGTCATGGAATTACTGATTATAAATAGAAAGTATTATTATACTAAAATAGCTTCCTTTCATGAGTAATGTTTCCCCATACTCATATTATTCAAAACTGGTTATTCCATAATCAAAACATATCCTAATATAAAAGGGAAATTTTGAGGAGCTAGGTCAAACAATTTGGACAACTCGAATGTTTAATATATGCCTCATGTTTGACAATATTTTTGGAACCAATAATGACATTAGGATTCAGGTCAGATCTGTAATTCACATAATTCCATGTTGACAAGTAAACCCTTTGTGTAAGCCCGATTTCCCATTCAACTTAATGAGACCAAAATACCAAAACATGACAAATAAATAACAAGTAAAAATCTAAGCTAGACTCTTTCAAAAACATTAATGCAAAGTCCTTCACAAAATATTAGCAAAAATTCAGAAATACATGAAAAAGAATAATACATTATAACTAATTTGAATTTATTTCACTAGGACAAACTGGGTTTGGAATATAAGAATCCTTCAAAGTAAATCACTAGAGTGGAAAAATGGAGTATAAAAATTTATGATTATGTCAATAAGATTTTTAGAAAGTATTTGGTGAAATTTGTTATCCATTTAGGTTCAGAACTCTTTATAAAAATTAAGAATATAGGGAGAGAGGCAATCATTAATAGCCTTTCCACGACCTTTTCCTCTAGATTCAGAGAATTCCTCCATCAAAAGTAACTTAAGGAATGATTTGGATGGAAATTAAATGAAGGTCCTGATGAGTTTGCCATGCATTGACTGAAATTGTTTTTTGAGTAACCCATAATTGATGAGATGCAACGGCACAGAAAACAGAAACAAGTAACATATCTGTGTGGGTTCTATCTGTTTAGTAACGGAAAAAAGCTAAAGAGCCTGCAGATCCAATGCCTTTCCTGAGCTGTGGTGATCTACACCCCCTTAGTGTCATCTATGTGGGCAAAACAGTCCCTAGATATGAAAGAATTTGGGACATCAGAAACTTCACACGGGAATCAAGTGCTCTACTATATTATTACTATGCATTGTGTATTGCGTCTTCTTACTGTTTGTTAAAGCTATTTAAGCTTGATAATGAGTGAAGTCTATTGTGTCCCATGAGTCTGAGAATAAATCCAAATCCATCTTCACTGATAGTTCAAGCTGTTGAGAATTAATAAAGGAAATATCTTTAGTTCAGTAGAGGTTATTGCAAAAAAAAAAAAAACAAAGTAAATAGTGTATCTGCTCTTTAAAAAATAAAAAAGTTTTTCCCTCTGAGTTGAAGACTAAGATAATGAAGGACATTACTACCATATGTATTGAATATTGACATTAGGTATCTGCCAATGCAATGAAAAACAAAAGAAAAAACTTAAGAATGAAAAGGAATCATTAATATTGTCATTTTCATGGATAATGTAGTTACATACATAGAAAAGTCAAAATAATGTAATAGAAACTATTAAGTGTAAAAAATGGATTTAGCAAGTTTGCTGAAACCAAGCTATATAACCAAAAATAAATAATATTCACCATTGGGAAACAATTACAAAATATATTTTTTAAAAAAGTTATTTACAAACACAAGAGTTGTACAAGAATAAACATAACAAAAACATAAACAATTTTGAGAAAAAATAAAGAAAACCTAGATAAAGCAATGAATCATGTATCTGAATTAGATGTTTCAATATTACAGAGGCATTGGTTTTCTCAAAATGATCTATGAATTCAGTATGATCCTCATCAAAACCCTAGCAAAATTTGTCAAATATATAAAGTATACATTTTGTTATCAAAATTCAAAGGACCATGTACTGCCAAAACAACCTTGAAGAAAATTTTAAAAGTTGAAGATGCTTTCTACCAGATGTTATCAATTACAATGATATCAATTAGTATGGTGTGGTATTGTCACAAATAGATAAATCAAACTATAGGAATTAGAAGACAAAGCAGCATGTATACAAACTCTAGATTTGACTTCTGAAAATATGAGAGTAAAAAGCAGAAGGAAAATGGCAGTCCTTTCAGTAAATATTGCTAGGTCAATTGGATGACAATTGGGAAAAATAAATAAGTCTTAACTTGGGAATAACACCAGCTTCCAGTTTTAGGACTGGCAAATATTTTCTTACATGGTAAGAGAATAAATATTTTATGTTTTGGGTCAAGATACAAAACCATGGACCTTATATAGGTACTTATACAGCCATTCAAATGTAGACATTTAAAAATGTAAAAAACGTTGTTAGCTCACTGGACATTAAGAAAAGCCAACAACAAGAGCAACAACAACAAGAAACAAGCAGCTGGACTAAGAAAGACAGACAACTCAATATAAAAATGGGCAAAGATTTGAACAGGCACTTCAGAAAAGATAATACTAATTTGCTCAATTTCTTGAATAATCAGAGAAATGCAAATTAAGCCAAAACAAATTATGTTTCACACTCCTGAAACAGGCACAATTTAAAATTACTGACAATGTCACATTTTGGCAAGGATGAGGACACAGTTAACATTTTTTTGCTCTGGTAGTAGAAATGCAAATTAATACACTTTTGGAACCTGTTTTACATCTCTATTTAATTCAAATATGCTCATAACAAAATATGTAACAACTTTACTTTTAAGCATGAATCCAACAGGTTAACACATACATATTTGATTCAACATGCATGTATAAGGATGTTTACAGCATTATTTAAATTGGTATAATCTACAAACAGTTAAAGTGTCTACCTAAAATAGAAAGGATGAACAATATAAGTGGATGGTGGACTACAGTAGGTCATCCAATAACGTCATTTCATCCATTATCTTTTTATTATAACATTGATGAGGGGAAAAAATAATTTCTGGCTGTGATCATTGTCTGTGTGGAGTTTGAAGTTTCTCCCCATGTCATTCTGGGTTTTCCTGGGTACCCTGCTTTCCTCCTACATCCCAAAAAGGTGCACGTGAGGTTAACAAGTGTGTCTACATGGTAACAGCCTGAGTGAGAGTGGGTATGAGTTCACCTTGCGATGGAATGACATCCTGTCCAGGGCTAGTTCCCATTTGGTGCCCTGAGCTGCCAAATGGGCTCTGACATTTATTTCATATAGCTGACATTTATTTCAATGTGAATTTCTCTGATGTTTCCTCATGATTAAATTCACATTATGCACTATTTGCAAGCATGTTAAAGAGGATTCCAAGTATGTTTGGTCTTTATTTAGAAGTTTGACAATGTATTTGTGACCAGAAATATGATGTAGGAACTTAACTCAATTTATATCAATTAGTCTATGATAAAATTGGTTTCATTACACAACATTTTGCTTAAAGTTACAGTTTCCAAGATCCTATCAACTATGTTAATTAAAGACTTGCTATATTATAGAGCAGTGAAAATGAGGAAACTACTGCTGCATTCAAATATGAATTTCACAAACATTATGATGAGTAAAAGAAATCAGCATAAAATAATATGTACTTCTTAATTCAATTTTTATAAATTAATAAATAAGAAAAATAAACAGGCAAAATCAATCTGTGGTGTTTGATATTAGAATAGTTGTTACTTTTGTGAAGGAAGAAAGAAAAAATTTAGAGAAGGCAGCTCTAGGGTATGGCAATATGCAAATTTTTGATGTGTGTGGCAGTGTGAGTGGACTACTCTGTCATAGTTAATTATGGTGTATATTTATATTTTGTGAATTTTTAGTTAAATGAATATACTTCAACAAAAACATTTTTCAAAATCAAATAAAATTTTCCCCAAGATAATATTTATCAGGAAAAATACTTGCTAATGTCTCCCGGATTTTCAAAAGTTAATTCAGTAGTTCTTTTCTTTATGCAACCTTCCTTGATTACTCTCTCCTTAGAAAATAAAATCTTTGATGAAGCAGTAGGTGCAAAATTTCTTATAGATATTAAACAATATTGAACACATAGAAGCACTACTTACAGGAAATAGTCCTGGATTTAATGTCGAAATGTCTGAGTTGTAGCAAGCTCTTGAAGAAGACACTAAATCACTTGATGTAATCAGGCCCCTGATCACAACTGCCTCCTAGCCTCCAAATCTGGAATTGCCTGCTAACTAATGGAAGAACCTCATAGCCGTTATTTCATTGAATGTACTTTTCCTTTATGTTATAGGCTTCCATACATTACTTTCCTATTACCAGTAGTAATTCCCTTCTGGTTTCTGTAAATAACTCATTTCCTTGTTTCTTTCTTGGTGATATTTTCATGATCTTATCTGGGTATTTTCAGTATCTGATATGCTATGTTAAAGAGCACCAAACTCATTTGACTTTTATTATGTGGATATTGACTTGCACTTTTCAGGCTCAGAGATTTTGAGAAGTGTGGTGATAGAGATGCTTGATTCTCATCACTTACTCTACCTAACCTGGATGCGCTATCTCTGGGTGGGCAATTGATTTTGAAAACATGAGCTGGCCATCTATCACTGCAAATGTCTAGGTCCTATTATATTAAACTCCTTCACAGTATTCACCTCCTAGAAGAGAACTCTGTATCATGTATGTCTTCTTCAAGCATTGCTTAAATAAAATAAATTATATTTTATCACCAAGATACTGATTGATTTGAATCCAATATTTTAGACCTTGCTATAATATTATTTTTCAAAAATCATATGGGTAAATAAGTAAGCATAAGAAATGAAAAACTCAGCAAACTGATGCAAGAGAGATAAACTTGCTGTAGAATTTTCCAAGGGGGTTAAATTAAGAAAATTGGGTAATAATGCTTTCAAAAATTATCAGTAAACAGTGATTTATTATAAATCAGGTATCACTGTCAAGTCTACTACCCCAAGCTACTTCCTATGAAATTGATTAGAAATCATTGCAATTTGACCATTAGTTAATTTTTAAAAGCTTATCATATCATATTGAGGTAAGTGGAAAGATACAAGGGCCATAAAAAAATGTACCCTTGCAAGGCTCAAATGTTGGAATAGGTATGAGCTGTTAGTTTTTAATAGTTTAATAATGAAAAAAACAGAATAATAGCTATAAACAAAATTTAAGACATATTTTCATATTGGCAAAATATAACCGACGTGTATGATGTCTGAATGAAGGCTAATTTCATGTTTATATAATTATATCCAAACAATAAATTGCATGATTGCTGAAAGAGAACAATATTAAAGCAAGTGTGCAATGTTCTGCCCTCCCATTCATATTCAAATAGCAATTGCAATGTGAAAAAGAAAAGTTTAACTTCTGTTCAGTTCTAACTCATAGACTTTTAGGGATTTGAGATAGATGTCTCTTAATTTTGGGTCACCTAAATACTAACTCTAAAAAAGGGATTTAATTGCATGGAAATATATTTGGTAGATTATCCCAGAAAACACTTTCAGTCAGGAAAGAGAAAGAAGCCAGTAAAGGGTGTTTTACTAAGACAGTCACAACCCTGGGCAACTGGAGCTCAATGAAGCTGGTCAGCTCTGGGAGACAGTGTGGAACATGCTTTGCAGCATCCCCAACCAAGGGATGAAAAGACTGGCACATTGATGCAGCAAATCCCTGTTTATCCAGGCTTTAAGACCACTTCTGGGAGCACTAAATTGTTGGCACTTTCAGGTTGCCCTGTGCAGATACAAAGTATCTCCATGTAGCTGGATAAAATTCTTGCAGCAGTGAATCACAAATGATTGTAAGAAGCAGCCTTTCACATGTAGGGACAGTGAAAGCCATAGCAGGACACTGATGGTGTCAGCTACGATTCTCCCCATACACCACCCAGTTCATTCAAGCCCCACATTAGGGATATTCTGTCCTGTCATTGATTTTCCAAGGTGTGACGGGAAACAATTAAAAATAATTAATAGCAATAGTAAGATGAGTGGAAGAAGCTACTGTCCTACTATTAAAGGTGATCGTAAGTAATGTTTATTATTACCCTTCCTCTACAATGTATTCTATATCCCCCTTATCATTGGCATATACGCTGGTGTAAGTTACTTGTTTAATGGGGTAACCTAGATCTTCTTCCCTGGTGGTTTATGCCCTTTGTTATCCTGCATTGTAGTAACTTGGTAGCTGCTATTTTCTGTTCAAGTTGCAGAAACACTCTTTTTGTACCTTATACTGATGGTATACTCTACCTTGATAGGGTTGTAATAACAACAATTTATTATAACTACCCTATCAAGGTAGAGTATACCATCAGTATAGAAACTGCTTTTTTGCCTATTGTCCTACAGCCATGAGGAGCACAAAATAACTGCATGAGAAGGACACTTTAGACATAACAGTCTCCTTAGCCTGTCCATTGGCAGAGGACCCGTTTGGGAAACAGCAGAACCTAAAATTATAGATTTGTAAAGAACAAATTCCCCAAATGATTCACTGGGAGTGTGAATGAGAAGAGCCCATTCTTACTTCCACCTCTTGGATTCAAGACCCATGAATTTTAGCTAATGGTCATTGATACGATGTATAAACCACTTTTTGAAAAGCAGTATCCTAAATCTACAGGGTGTCATTCCACAACTGGTATCTTAAATGAACTTTCTAGTATTATATTAAGTTGGCTGCCTGTTAGGTGAAACCAGAAAATTCTGTGTATATTCATTGAATATACATTGAATGATAAGAAGTAGGATACTTGGGTAATTGCACTGACTGAGCCACTATAAGTAAAAAAGCAAATATTGTACATACTAAGGATAGAAAAAATAATCCAAGAAAAGATGAATTGTTTCCATATTTAAAATAAATATTTTCGGCTGGGCACAGTGGCTCATGCCTGTAATCCCAGCACTTTGGGAGGCCGATGTGGGCAGATCATGAGGTCAGGAATTTGAGACCAGCCTAGCCAACATGGTGAAACCCCGTCTCTACTAAAAATACAAAAATTAATTGGACATGGTGGTGTGTGCCTGTAGTCCCAGCTACTCAGGAGGCTGAGGCAGGAGAATCACTTGAACCCAGGAGGCGGAGGTTGCGGTGAGCCGAGATGGCACCGCTGCACTCCAGCCTGGGCAACAGAGCGAGACTTCACCTCAAAAAAAAAAAAGAAATGAAAAATTTCCAATGCAATCAACTTTTAATTGATTGGTTCATTAGACTCTTTCTGCTATTTTAAGGGCTCAGCATTGGTCTCTGCTGCTGACAGCTTGACCCCACATGGATGTAGCTATTTCAGTTATGGGGCCATTACACAAGGCCTAGGGTAGCCATAAGCAGAGGTGTGGTAACATGCACTAGATGAATTATTCTATCAACCTAGTTGTTCTGGGAATTCTCTCTTGTGGATGGTCTCTGGTAAGCATGGACATGAGACTCAATCCATCATATATATTTCCCTACTTCTGTAGGTAAATCCACCTGACTCTTGCCCCTGATTTCATAGTCACCAATAATTCAGTCTTCTTTTTTCCAGGCCCGTGATTAAGCAGAAAGCTATTGACCACTATCCAGAGTTCATAAATATCTTTAACTCACTCACTTTTCCCTCCACAACAAGTTGACAACCAGATATTTCCATAAAGTAGCTCACGACATGGCAGGTAACAAGAGCTCTGAGAGAGAGAGAGCCACAGAGGGAGGGCAGGTTGGAAGTAAACTAATCTTGAATGAAAGACCTCCTATCAAACTTTCCATATTCTGTTCCTTGGATCCAGACCAAGCTCAAGGGATTATATGAGGTGCTGACTATCAGGAGCTGGATATCCCTGGGTACCATTCTAGAAGCCACCTACCACAACAAACTTTATCTTTTAGCTCTTTCTTTTCAATCTGATAACCTTCAATATCTAACCATGATTACTGACTATTATTATAACAAAAATCACTACAGTCATAGTTATTCTTATAAAATTTTCACAAATGAAGAATAAAGCTAGCACCTTTGACATCAGAAAAAAGACAAAAATGCCCCTTACCAATTCTATTCATCATTGTACTGGAAGTTCTAAACACGAAGTAAAAAGAGAAAAAAATAAGAAACAAAACTGTACATACGAACGTGTCTGTAGAAAATACAAAAGAATACACATATAAAGCATTAGATTTAACAAGAGAGTTTGAAAAAGTTGCTGGAAATTTTATTAATTTACAAAATCAATTGCATACATGAGACAATTACAATTTAAAAATTAAGTTTTGAAAGATTACCATTTAAAATAGCATCAACTCACAGAACAAAAATCAGAAATAAAACAAGGGGTATTGCTATTAACATTACAGAATTTTTAAAAACTGCTATGAACAACTGTATGCCAAAGAATTAAACAGCCTAACTAAAAAGTACAAATTCCAAGGAACACACAAAATATTGAACCTGACTCAAGAAGAAATAGAAAATCTACATAGACCTATAAGTAAAGAGACTGAATCGGATATTTTTTAATTCTCGCAAAAAAACAAAAGATAAAGAAAATACAAGACCAGATCACTTCACTGGTGGATTATACCAAAAGTTTAAAGAGAAATTAACACCAATCATTCTCCAACTCTTCAAAAACTAGAAGAGGAGATAATACTGTCCAACTTTTTCTATAATGCCAGTATTACTCTGCAACCAAAACCAGACATTAAAAAAGAGAAGAAAACTATAGAGTAATTTTCTATATAAAGAAATTATTTTAATCTTAACTTTTGTCTTCCTAGATCAGTTTTTCCCAATTGTATTTTAATGTGCAGTTATATTTTTTCACTTACTTTATGAAAATTTCTTCTAAATTTTATGTGCTTTATATATACATTATCCTTTTGATACATCATATTCTTGCAATAGTTTGTATACCTTTATAATTTACAACTTGGTTTCATTTGGTTTACAGTTTATGCTTTGTATTTCTAAAATGACTTACATTTGGTTTTTAAAATTTCTCTTAGAATTATTTTCTAATCATTGTTTGTAAGTCATTTTAAAGCACAAAGAAAAAGCATAATTGTATACAGAGTTAGGGACTAAGTGATACATACAAGAAAATCAAATAAAACAAAATTGCAAAGTGTAATGGTGTATAACCAATGATGATCAAAAAATAAGTATAAGAGAAATTCATGCCATATAAAAAGTCTGTGATATCTCTTACATAAAGGTAATATGATATTTTAATTAATAAGTACAATGGCAGGAAAAGTAAATTGTGCTATAACAATTGCCAGATGTGGATTTAATTTTTACACAAAATGCCCGAATATTTCTAATTACCATAAATATATGATTATATGTATGTATTAATATAAGAATATGAGAGTTACACAGAAATAATATAACTAATATTTTTTGAAATTTTCTTATTTCAGTATATCAATTTTGGACAGTAGATAATATGGATATATTGAAGCAAGACTTTAGGAACAATTACTTTGAGTAATTATGACCAGCATACAAATATTGTTCTGTACCTACACCAAATCTGGGAATTTTCTTCAATGCAGTTAAATACTCAGGTCACTGTTAAAAAGTACTGGTGCCTCTTAATGACCTAAGAGAAATAAGGTCATGCTATTCAAAGTGTGGTCCTTAAAATGATGTGGGTCCACAGGTTTTTTTTTTTTCTTTCTTTCTTTCCTTTTCTACAAAAGGAAGAGTTAAAAAATTGAGAGTAAACATTTAGAAACTCTTATAATAGTGTAGCAGAATAATTTATGTCTGTTGGGTCTCATAAAAATTAGGAAAATAAATTATATCAGAAGGATACCTACACATGTATGTTTATCACAGCCCTATTTACAATAGCAGATATGTGGTATCAACCAAAGCGTCCATCAGTGGATGGTTGGATAAATAATATAATACAGTGAAATACTAATCAGCCATAAAAAAGTCATTAGTATTTCAATAAAGTCTGCAAAGCTCTCATTTTAAAATATCAGTTTCTGTAACTAGGCAGTAAGATTGTCTAAAATAAAATTTCCCAGTATTCTTCTGAGAATGTTGAATATAAAATACAATCCTGTTTTTTATTTCTTTAATTTTACATTTTTTTTGAGATGGAGTCACTCTGTTACCCAGGCTGGAATGCAGTGGCACGATCTCGGCGCACTGCAACCTCTGCCTCCCTGGTTCCAGTGATTCTCCTGCCTCAGCCTCCCGAGTAGCTAGGATTACAAGCACGTGCCACCACTCCTGGCTAATTTTTGTATTTTTAAAAGAGACGGGGTTTCACCATGTTGGCCAGGCTGGTCTTGAACTATTGACCTCAAGTGTTCTGCCCACCTAGGCCTCCCAAAGTGCTGGGATTACAGGTATGAGCCACTGTGCCTGGCACTCCTGTTGTTTTAATACCATAATAGATGACTTACAGACTTATAATGAGGTTTTGGGAAAGTCAATGATGAGCTGAGCAGAAGCCGGCATACAGGAAAGGGAAATGAGATCTGGAAGAGTTTGGGCAGAAATCTGTGCCACAGATGATCGGCTGCTCTCTGCCACAGGTGAGGTGAGGCCAAGGGGTCATCTCGGATTATTGTTTTGGTTTAACAAATAGTTGGTCAACATTTTTAATTAAACCGACTTTTAAAACAAAATCATGTGTGAAGCATCCAATTATATATTTTAAATACATAAAATATCTAGTTTAGTAGCCTTGGAAGGTTATTATGAAATAAGAACTATATATTTTGTTTGTATAAAGAAAAATAAAACTTGAAAATGGAAAGGATCTCAAGAGGTTCTAAGGGGCCAACTTACGTTGAAATTCAATATTTTGCTTGGGAAATTTTGTGATTTTCACATATATCCTAGTTTCTTGTGCAATTAGCTAGAAGAATGACACAAAATTGAGGTCCCAAAGTTGTAGTACAGATGTAAGGAAAAAGAGTATGTATAATCAATAAGGAAACAGCTATATCTGTTAGAGAAATATAGAACAGACTATTGATTTTGCTCATCAGAAATGTTGACAGAGCAAAAACTTATTATAGAATAATTCTTCTTTATTTCCTTCATTTCTCCTTCCTTCCTTCCTCTCCCTCTCACTCCCTCCTTCCTCCCTTCCTTCCTTTCTTAATTTTTCCATTGAAATCTCCCAAAAGGCCTATATTTGATTATTTATAAGAAAAATGGAAGACAAATGAATAAGTAGCCTGTTTATTTTTCCCGAGTTTCATTAGAAATATATAAACAGAATAATATATAAACATAGAATCTGGTTAAAGGATTATAAAAATAGAACATCACAAGGATTTATTCTCTCTAATTTCTTGCCTAAAAATGTTTTTGTTTTAGACAGGTTAGTGTTTAATAATTTTTGAAACCTCCATAGTTTTTTTTAATATATGCAATAAATTGGCACCAGAGCTACAATTTTCTTATACATATTGAGGGAGAATTTTAATAGGGCCAGAGAAACTGCCCATTTTTCTGCTTGACCAGTGTGTGTTTTCAAGTGAGTTGAAGGGAGTGGACATGACGTTTTTGTGTCATCAGTGAGTGTAAGTTCCTTTTGGTTTCTTATGATCAGAACATCTTGCTGAACCTAATGTTAAATCTACTATTCAATGGCTTAGAAAGACAGTGAAATGTGATGTCTTCCTATATCTAGAGAAAATGTTTCTGATTTACTGGTGTTAGTGTTTCACCATAAATATAAATTTTAGTTCGATCTCTTTTCAAATTTTAGTGTCATTTTTAGACACTATGAGATGGTGAATCTGGAAGAATTAAAGAACTAAACACTAGTAGCTCACTCAAGGAGAAAGAGACTTCCTAAAGGGTGGTAAATGTCTTACAGAATTTCTTGGAACGATGAAGAGACAGCATCTAGTTTGAGATATCAGAAGTGACTTCAGAGCTACATGGCAGAACTAGAATATTAAGGAAAACACTGTGCTGTCTATGATCAGAAAACTGTCATGATCAAGAAGCCATCGCAGAAAAACAAAGCACATCCATAAAAAATCCTACTTCCAGAAACAGCAAGAAAAGCTGAATGTGTAGTTTATGTTTCTATCAAATCTTCCAAAGGGTACTTAAATACAGAATACAGACTATCTTAATGTTAGAAAGTGTATTTGTATAAATTGGTATCTGTAGAGAGTCTGAGAAATGTATTCTGTAGTACAGACACATATACTGTTGAAGGCTGGAATAAATGCTGCATGCCAGTCCACCTTACTTACAGGTTGTCAGCTCATATTCAAATGCATAGCTCAGTTAGTTGGTCAGCTGATAGGGAGGGGAAAATACAGCACATCACTTAAGGTAGTATCTTAAATATCCACCATGCTTTGTAACACTCTTAAGAACATATATTGAAAACACATCCCCATGAGAAATTTAAAAATGCTTTGTTATGTAAATAAATATGTAGCTCTATTTTTTTGAACAATTAAATTTAAAGCTTTGCTCTGAGAATCAACATAATATTCTAACTACCTAAACCTACAAAACTTGCTGGGAAAAAAAGAAACATGTTAATTATAATAGCGAATCTTACACATAGGCAAAAGCTTTCAAACACTAGGGAAATCAACAAATTAATAAAAAGAAATGAGTGGGCAATGATTTTTTGGATATGACTTCAAAAGCACAGGCATCAAAACCAAAAATAGACAAATGGAATTACATGAAACTAAAAAATTTCTGCCTAGCAAAGGAAATGAACAGACTGAAGACGGGAGCTACAAAATGGGAGAGGGGAAACATTTACCATCTACATATCCAACAGGGGGTTAATAACCAAAATAGATAAGGAACTCAAACAACTCTATAGCAAGAAAATGAACAACCTAATTTTAAAATGATCAAGAGACCTGAATCAACATTTTTTGAAAGAAGACATACAAACGACCATCAGGTTAAGAAAAAAAATGCACAGTATCTCTAATCATCAGGAAAATGCAAATCAAACCACAATAAGATGTCACCTCATTCCTGTTAAAGTGGCTATTACTAACAAGACAAAAGGTAGCAAATGTTGAACTGGATATGGAGAAAAAGGAAACCTAGCACACTTTGGGTAAGAAGGTAAATTAGTACAGCCATTATGAAAAACAGTATGGAAATTAAAAAAAAATTAAAAATAGTGATCCAGCAACCCCACTACAGGATATATATCCAAAGGAAATCAGTATGTGGAAGAGATATCTGCATTTCCATGTTTATTGCAGCACTGTTCACAATAGCCAAGATATGTAATCAAACTAAGAGTCCATCAATGAATGAATAAAGAAAATGTTGCAAATACATACAAAGGAATATTAGTCAGGCATTCAAAAGGAAATCTTTTCATATGTGACAACATATGCCATTATGTTGGATGATGTTAAGTGAAATAAGCCAAGCACAGAAAGACAAATACCACATGATCTCACACATATGTGGAATATAAAAAGCTTGTCACATAGAAGTAGAGATTAAAATGGTGGTTACCACAGCCTGGGGTGGTAGAGGGTGGGGATGTTGGGAGATGTTGGTCAAAGGGTACATAATTACAATTAGATAGGAGGAATCGGTTCAAGTGATCTATTTTAGCAGCGTGGTGACTATAGTTAATGATGATATAATGTATACCTGAAAAATGTGAAGAGAGTAGGTATTAAGTATTCTCATCAATGATTGATAATTACATGAAGTAATACATTTGTTAATTAACTAGATTTAACCATTCTACACTGTATATGTACTTCAAAACATTATGTTTTTACACTGCTGAAAAAGACACACTTGAGACTGGGTAATTTATAAGGAAAAAAAGGTTTAATGGACTCACAGTTTCACGTGGCTGGGGAGGCCTCACAATCATGGTGGAAGGCAAAAGCCACATCTCATGTGGCAACAGTCAAGAGAAGAGAGCTTGTGCAGGGAAACTCCCCTTTATAAAACTATCAGACATTGTGAGGCTTATTGACTATCATAAGAAAAGCATGAGAAAGACCTGTCCCCATGATTCAATTACCTCCCACCAGGTCCCTCCCATAACATTGGGAATTGTGGGGGCTACAATTCAAGATGAGATTTGGGTGGGGACACAGCCAAACCATATCATTTGGCTAATTTGTGTTTTCCTAATAAAACAGATCAAACATACAGAACAGCAGAATATACTTCACTTTACCTCTACTCTCTGGTCTTCTCTATACTTGATATGGTTTGACTGTGTCCCCACTCAAATCTCATTTTGAATTGTAGCTCCCATAATTTGCACATATTGTAGGAGGGACCAAGTGGGAGATAATTGAATCACAGGGGTGGTTTCCCCCATACTGTTATCATGATAGTGAATAAGTATCACGAGATCTGATGATTTTATAAGGGATCTCCTCTTTCACTTGGCTCTCTCATTCTCTCTTGTTTGCCGCTATGTAAAATGTGACTTTCACCTTCTGCTATGATTGTGAGGCCTCCCCAGCCATGTGGAACTGTGAGTCCATTAAACTTCTTTTCCTTTATAAACTACTCAGTCTCGAATATATCTTTATCAGCAGTGTGAAAACAAACTAATACAGTACATTGGTACCAGCAGAGTGGAGTGCTGCTGTAAAGATACCCAAAAATGTGGAAGCAACTTTGCAACTGGTTAACAGGCAGAGGATGAAAGAGTTTGGAGGGTTCAGAAGAAGAGAGAAAAATGTGGGAAACTCGGGAACTTCCTAGAGATTTGTTGAATGGCTTTGACCAAAATGCTGATGATATGAACAATGAAATCCGGGCTGAGGTGGTCTCAGATGGAGATGGGAACTTGTTGGAAACTGGAGCAAAGGTGACTCTTGCTATATTTTAGCAAAGATACGGACAGCATTTTGCCCCACCTTAGAGATCTGTGGAACTTTGAACTTGAGGGAGATAATTTAGGGTATCTGGCAGAAGAAATTTCTAAGCAGCAAAGCATTCAAGAGGTGACTTCAGTGCTGTTAAAAACATTCAGTTTTAAGTGGGAAACACAGCATAAATGTTCAGAAAATTTGCAGCCTGAGGATGCAATAGAAAAGAAAAACTCATTTTCTGAGGAAAAATTCAAGCTTGCTGTAGAAATTTGCATAAGTAATGAGGATCTGAGCGTTAATCACCAAGACAATAGGGAAAATATCTCCAGGGCCTGTCAGAGACCTTCACAGCAGCCCATCCCACCATCACAGGCCCAGAGGCCTAGGAGAAAAAAAATGGTCTCACTGGCCATGACTACGGCCCCCCTGCTCTGTGCAGCCTAGGGACTTGGTGACCCGCATCCAAGTATCTCCAGCTATGGCTAAAAGGGGCCAATGCAGAGTTCAGACCATTACATCAAAGGATGCAAGCCCCAAGCCTTGGCAGCTTCCAAGTGGTATTGAGTCTGTGGGTGCATGGAAGTTAAGAATGGAGGTTTGGGAACCTCTGCCTAGATTTCAGAGGGTGTATGGAAATGCCTGGATGCCCAGGCAGAAGTCTGCTGCACTGGTGGAGTTCTCATGGAGAACCTCTGCTTGGGCAGTGTGGAAGGGAAATATGGGGTCAAAGCCCACACACACAGTCCTCACTGGGGCACTGCCTAGTGGAACTGTGAGAAGAGGGCCACTGTCCTCCAGACTCCGGAAAGGTAGATCCACTGACAGCTTGCACTGTGCACCTGGAAAAGCTGCAGACACTCAATGCCAGCCTGCAAAAGCAGCCAGGAGGGAGGCTGTATCCTGCAAAGCCACAGGGGTGGAGCTGCCTAAGACCATGGGAACCTACCTCTTGCATCAGTGTAACCTGGATGTGAGACATGAAGTCAAAGGAGATCATTTTGGAGTTTTAAGGTTTGACTGCCCTGCTGGATTTCAGACTTGCATGGGCCTATAGCCCCTTTGTTTTGGCCAATTTCTCCCACTTGCAATGGCTGTATTTACTCAATACCTGTACCCCCATTGCATCTAGAAAGTAACTAATTTCTTTTGATTTTACAGGCTTTTAGGCAGAAGGGACTGGCCGTGTCTCAGATGAGATTTTGGACTTGGACTTTTGAGTTAATGCTTAAAATGAGTTAAGACTTTGGGGGGACTGTTGGGAAGGCATGATTGCTTTTGAAATATGAGGACGTGACATTTGGGAGGGGTCAGGGGCGGAATGATATGGTTTGGCTGTGTCTCCACCCAAATCTCATCTTGAATTGTAGCTCCCATTAATTCCTACATGTTGTATGAGGAACCCAGTGGGAGATAATTGAATCTCAGTGGCGGTTTCCCCCATACTGTTCTTGTGGTATTGAGTAAGTCTCACAAGGTCTAGTGTTTTAGAAAGGGTTTCCCCTTTCACTTGGCTCTCTCATTTTCTCTTGTCTGTTACCATGTGAGATGTACCTTTCACCTTCAATCATGATTGTGAGGTCTCCCTAGCCATGTGAATCTGTGAGTCCATTAAACCTCCTTTCCTTTATAAATTACTCAGTTTCAGGTATTTCTTTATCAGCAGCATGAACACGAATACAATACTCCTCATGAGGAATATAAAACCTTAAACCAAGAAATTGGCAATTTTTTCCTCTTTGATGCTGAATTTCAAAGCAGATAAAATAATCATCGCTGAACACTTTCCTATTTACAGACTTAGTTAAGGAAAGTGACTTCCTAAAAAGACAAAAAACAAAACAAAAACTCAAAGCAGATAAAAGTAAAGGCTCTACAGCCAAAAGCCTAAGTTTGCTTTATACAGCACATTGACAACAGTTATTTCACTTTGGGTAAAATAATTCAACTTTACAAGCCTAACTACACTAATCTGTAAAAATTCAGGTAATAATAATATCTACCTCAAAGAATTGTATATATAGATTCTTTTTTAAAAAATATACATATACACTCATGCCATTTGCAAATAATTATAGCTTCATATCTTCTCTCCCAATTCCTACTTTTTTTCTGTATTCCTTTCTATTGCTTTATCACACTGAGACCTCCAACAGAGATCTTTCCTGATACTGATCTCAAAGGGAAAGTTCTCAATATTTTACCATTAGATATGCTGTCAGATGTATGTTTTTGACCATCACTTTTATTAGATTACGGATGTTCTTTTCTATTGTTACTTTGCTGAAAGTATTCTTTATCGATGGATGTTAACTTTTAAGAAATATATGTTTTGAATTTATTGAGATGACTATAATATGATTTCCTCTCTCATTTCTTTTAATGTGGTAAAACCCATTGTTTGAAAGTCAAATGTTTAAATATGCATGCACATAGATTGGATATGACATATCTTGTCTAGAATTTATTTACTAATATTTTGTTAATATTTTTGCACATATATTTATGACATCATTTGTCAAGTTTTGATACTAAAATTATTCTGACAAAAATTATTTAAAAGTGAGTTCTACCTTTTCTATTCTCTAAAGACATTTCTGTAAGGTTGATTCTATCTTACATGTTGGACAAAACTTGGGACTTGCCTTCATGTTTCCTTCATGAGATTTTTCTTTTTATTTTTGAATTCAATTTATTTACACTTCATTGATGCAGTACCATACAAACATGCTATTCTTGATTTAATAATTTTTTGAGGTGGTGTAGTATGTTGTATTTTTAGATAAATCTCTCCATTTTACCCACATTTAAGAACAAGGTTGGTACTTTTAATTTCTGTAAGACATGGTGGCAGTGTTCCTTTTTAATTCATAATAATGGAAATCTGTTTCTCTTTTTAGATCACACTCATTTATGAATTTAGTCTTTCCACATGAAGTACCTTCGTATCTATTGATTTGCTTTACTGTGTGTTTGTGTTCTTTTTCTACCCTAATTTTTAGTATCTCTTACCTTCTATTGCCTTTTAAATTAAATGTTCTTTTAAATTGATTCTTGAGTAGAATCTTGGTTTATTTTCAGCCATTCTGTTTTTCCGATAAATACATTTAAAGCCACACATTCTCTTCTCAATATAGATTTTGCCACAGTACCTGATTTTCAAGTATTTGGATAGTTTCTAAGTATCATTTTTGCTATCAGCTTTCAGGACAATTTCTTCTTGGAAACAGAACATATTAATGAATTTTATCCATGAGGACTAGTATAAAATCAATGCTCATGAATGTTCCATTCATACTAGATACATTTATTAATCATGTTTTTCAAACTTCCTCTATTTCTACTGATTTTTGTTTTTATAAATTTAGCTAGTAAATGGCTGTTGTATATAAACATCTATCACTGTAATTGAAAAACTGTTTATTTTTAAAGAGTGCATTTTTGCTAGTTTTATGTATCTATAGAATACGTTATTGTGTAAATAAAATTTACTATTTTTATTTCATTTTGATAATTAATTCTGTTATATTTATGAAAGTTTAACTTAACTCTTGCAATGCTTCTGTCCTTCACATGTACTTTTTCTGATATCAGTAAAGTTATACCAGACATTTTGGAGTTAATATATACATAATTTTTTTTGTCATTTTATTATTATTCTTTTCTCATCATTTCATTTGAGATATGTGTCATGAAGGCAGTCTGCAGTTTGGGGCTTTATCCTGTGTTATTTATTTTTATTTTAAATTATTCAATCAGTTTACATTAAGATAATCACTAACATATTTGACTTATATCTTCCAACCTCTTGTTTGCATTATAATTGCCCTATTATTTTTTCTTCTTTACTTGCTGAATTCTGAGTTAATGTAAATTTTTCTTCCATTTCTTTTTTATTTATGTTGTTAGTTCTGTATCTTTTTATAAATATTGAAGTGGTTATTATAAGCTTGATTTACTGAAGTCCACTTAAAATAGTATTTTAACACTGCTTAGAAAATTCAAGAACTTTCAGAACTTTTCAAGTGAAATTATATGAACTTCTTTGTGATTCTTACAGACAGGGATCTTAATGCTGTAAGTGTGTTAAAGTCTGCAAAATATTATTGTTGTTTCTTACACTGTCAATATGCATTTCATATGGTCAATATTTATTCACTTTGTGCTTTTCATTTATTCCTGCATTTCCATGTTTTCATATGCACAGTCCTGTGATTTTATATCTGTGTGAGTCTTAAGTGACTAATTATCTGTTCATTTTTAAATTTCTTCATTTTGTGATCATTTTTAGGTTGAAAGTTGTTTTGCAACAGTTTCACAATGTTATTTTAATCATTTTTAACACCATTAACAGTTGAAAACTCAGAAGCCAATCTTACTGTATCAACTTTGAAGTAAATGTGTTCCTTCTTCTGTTTTCTTTTAAGATTTATTTTTTCTTTGTTTTGGTTATTGGCAGTTTTACTATGAGGTGATTATATAAAATTTTCTCATTGTTTAACCTAGGAAAATCTTTGCCAAACATCTTTTATCTATAGCTTAATGTCTTTCATCAGTTTAGAAACTTCCTGACCAGTATCATTTCAAATTTTGTTTTAATCTCTTCTTTCTTTCCTCTCCTGAGACTCTACTTACATGTATGTACAATTTCTGCCTATATTCTACTCCTCTCTTTTCTTTTACAATTCTTTAATCTTTTCTTTCTCAATTATTCAGTCTGAATATTTTGTACTGACTTGTAGACTGAGTTCACTATTCTTCTGTTGTGTCTAATATTCTATTAAACCTATAGTTTGAACTTTGTGTCTAGGTTTTATTTTTCACAAGTCAAAGACTAACTGCCTCTTGGCCCTACTGACAGTTTCCTGGCAAAAGTTAGGTACCAATTGCCAATACCTAGGGGTGGGGAAATAGAGGGCTGGCAAATTCTGCTTTGTTCCTCTAGGGTGGGGTAGGAAGCCCAGCTCCCCACTGGGCCTCAGTGACACCAGAGGAAGGGAGGGTGCAGGGGAGTGCCAACTAGCCCTGCCTCTCAGCACCTCATTATTCTTCACTCATGCTGGTTGTAGGGTATAGATTCACTTCCCCACTTGGTCTCACTGATAACAGGGATAATAGAACAAGAGTGTCAATTGACTCTACTTTACCTTGCCTTGCTCAGTCTTATTCCTGCCAGGTGGGTGAGGAGGTTCAGCCCCATAATGCACCTTCCTGACACCAGGAGTAAGGGGAACGTGGAGTGTTTATTAGCTCTGACCTGCACCATCTTGTACAGTCTATACGATGTTAGGTGATTATACAGGCTCAGCTCCCACACAGCTCTGCTGATACCTGGCATGTGTGTGTTGGGTGTGAGTTAGAGGAGGCTAGTTCTTTTTTGCATTACCAAATTAAATCTCACTGTTACCGGGTAGGAGTGGGGAGTCAGGACACCACCTGGTTCTTATGGTGGGGAATGGAAGATCAGCTGACTATTGGGTGCTATAGATACAACATAGCAAGCAAATTAGAGCATTGCCTGCTTCCGTGAGGCAGGGAGTTTGGTTGGAAGACCAGCTCCCCTCTTGACCCACTAAAACTGCAAACAAGGGGATGCAATTTTTCCATTGGTATTGGCTGGGTATTGCCAAAAATATTTTCCTTTGAAAGGTTAGGCAGTGACAGGCTTTTCTTGCAGTTTTTTTGCTTTTTGTTTTGTCTATGCCTGTTGGTGGGATTTATATTGGAGATTATAAGAAAATTCAGTAAGATCCAAGAAGAAAAGTTGTGAGATTCCCTAAGTGGCCCACTTCTTTCCATGTTACAGAGGCTTCTTTCTATGCTTGTTGTTGTGTTGTTTTAGTTGTAAAAACTGAGGATTTTTCAAACTGTAAGACAGAGGACCTCAGAGGAATGGGGCTACTCCATCTTCACGAACTAGAGTTTCCAATGTCATTATTTTATTGTTTAATTTAGATTGCTTCAGATTTTTTCCTTCTTCTGATATTTCCAATTCTATTCTCTTGCCTCTCATTGATATGCACATACAGCAACATGCAGATTGCGGTATTTTTAACTTTTGTCTCTCTAACATACTTGAAATAAATTTTCATATTGATGACTATCTATTAAAGTATATAATCTCATTTCTACATGTTTTTGTGTGTTTCCATTCACATTAATGGTAGCACCCCTCACATTTGGCTTTTGCTTTATTCATTAACAATTTTGGAACTCAACCAAAAAATGACATAAATAGCTATACTAAAATTCTTTTAATTACTGTCTAAAATCACACTCAGGCAGAAAATGTGCTCTATTTATACATTTAAAAATTGATACTTAATATGTCTTTGATTTTTTGCTGAGTTGGGTAATTGTTCCACAAATAACTTTATAAATATTCTCTTGATTATTATTCTGAATGCATCTCCAGATATAGAAATGGAATTGCTGGCCATGGGGCATGTATATTTACAATTTTATTAGAAACTGCTAAATTACTCTTCAAAGCAATGCTAATTTACACTCTGATAATGTGCTATTACTAGACACTTTGGGTTGGGTTTAAATGCGGAAATGTGCCCTTTTTAAATTTTTCTGATTTCTAGTGGGTTTAGCAACTTTTTGTCCACAAATTCACCATTAAGTTTTGTTTGTAAGTTTTTTAATGTAATTTGTTCATTTTCCATTTATGTCATTTTTTCATTTTCCATTTACTTTTACAGGATTGCAGGTTGTTTATGTAATGTGGAAACATGAATAGAGGGCATTTTCTCCCAGCCTGTCATTTATTTTATTCACTTGTTTATTAAGCATACTTTTTAAATTTTTCCTTGGTATTTTTATACTTTAAGATTTTTATTGAAGTATAATCTGTTACATACAATGTATAAAGTATGCATATCTGGTGTGTGAACTTCTGCCCATCTGTGTAACCATCACACAAATCAAGATACAGAAATCTGCCAGGAGCTCAGAGGCCTCTTGAATGTTCCATTGAAATCATGACCCCCACAAAGGTAACCACCACTCTTTTTGAAACATCGTTTAATTTTACCTGTTTTTGAACTTTTCGTAAAGTGAGGTATATAGGATGCATTGTTTAGGGTTGTTTGCTCTTCTCTTTTTCTTTTGAGATTCATGCATGCTTTCTCATATAGATTCAGATCATTATCTTTCCATTGTTATATAGGATTTATCATTTGCATACACTACAATTCATTATTCATATTACTCATAATTAACAAATTTTGTTTGTTTAAAAGCTTGGCAATTTTAAATAACTGTGCTATAAATTTTCTTGGGCATATTTTTCTTAAGTGGTTTTACCAATTCACATTCCAGTAGTGATTGATCTCGCACTTCTGCGATACTTAGTGGGATCACTTAATTTTTTTTCTATTTTTTGTGTAGTGGTATCACTAAATACTTGCATTTTCTTAATGATCTTGAGTCCCTATTCACAAATTAACTTGAGATTAACTATTGGATAATCTCAAATTCAAAACTAAAATTGTTTGAATGATCTTTATTGTTCATTGTCTTCTTACATGTTCTATATATTCTGCATAAATACTTTATATATTCTGCATAAGAAATAAACCAAATATTGACCAAGGATATAGTAGAATAATGCAAACAATAAGGTACTATTGCAAGAGTGGATAAAGCTGGAAACCATCATTCTGAGCAAACTATCGCAAGGACAGAAAATCAGACACCACATAGTCTCACTCATAGATGGGAATTGAACAATGAGAACACTTGAACACAAGGCGGGGAACATCACACACCGGGGCCTGTCATGGGGTGGAGGTCTCGGGGAGGGATAGCATTAGGAGAAATACCTAATGTAAATGACGAGTTAATGGGTGCAGCAAACCAACCTGGCACATGTATACATATGTAACAAACCTGCACATTGTGCACGTATACCCTAGAACTTAAAGTATAATTAAAAAATAAATAAATAAATAAATAATAAGAAAATTCACGTATAACTTTCAACTTTCCAAAAACTTAAAAAAAAAAGAGTTAAATTGGAAAAATATCACAAAAATATAAGAAGAATCTTCCATTCTGAATAACTTCATTTATAAAGTTCAAACAAATAAATCTTAACTATGATTGCAGATGTTAGAATAGTGGTTATGGAGTGGGGTATTAAGTGGGAGAGGATAAGAAGAAATCTGCCTGGTTCCTGGAAATCTTTAATCCTGTGTGGGTGAGGACTACAAGAGTACATACTCATACAAAATATGTATTCAACTGTGATTAAGGTCCATGCACTTTACTGCTAATTATTTATACCATGCAAAAAAGTAAATAGCTACCTACTCTAAGGTAACATGAATAAGTCCTTATGTTAGCTTTTGGAAGACATGTTTGTTTAATATTTACATTTATCTTTCTCACTTAGCTCCAAGCTCCTTTGAAAATGATTTTGGAATATGCTGTAGAAGGCAGGGAGCTGTTGGTATTCACAGCTCACTGATTTTCCATATGGATAATAAATTAGTTCAGAAATATTTAGGGAAAGGACCATCTTTTCTTCATTATATTGCAGTGTAACTGTGTTTACATCAGTTGACAGCGTGTGTCTCAGGCTGTTTCTGATTTTTGTATTTTTTATGTTTGCCCATTCATCTCCTTGCATCAATACCATACTGTTATAACTACTGTAGCCATATACAATGTAATAAAATTTACCCAACCTGGGATTTAATTTCTTAATTTTTTTTGCTTTGATATCTATCATCATCTTTTGAAACTATGTAGCCATTATCTTTTGAAGTTTTGTTTATCTCCCATGAAGTTTTTCTTCTACTTCTGTGACTTTACTTCCATATAAGTTAGGCTCTTTTTATTTCTTATACGTTCTACTCTGTTTTTTTTTTTTCAGTCCTTATTTCTCTTCACGTTTCCATCTAGATAAGTTTTTCTTGTCTATATCATTGTCACTAATTCTCTTTTTCTTACTGAATTTCTATAAATACTGATAATTTCAACTCCAAGATTTAAATCTGAGTGGCTTTTAGAAATTCCAGTAACCTGGCAAAATTATTCATGTTTTCTTTAATGTCTTAACTCTATTAACCATAATTCTGAAAAACATATCTGGGGGTTTGGGGGAAGTCTGGTTTCTCTCTATAGATAAGTAGATACATATAGATAGCAATACAGATATAGATATGTCTATAATTTAGTCTTGTATGACATGCCTAATAATTTTTATTGAGTACATAAGTTTGGGTATTATGAATTGTAGAGGTTTTGGATAACATTATATTCTTCCAAAGAGGATGTGATAATTCTCTGGCAGGTTGGTAGAATTTGGGCACATGTTTCTTGTAGATTTCTGATATGTTCTTTTATAAGGTTAAGGCAGTATCCTTCTATTTTTAGATTGCAAATATGTGTATTTGCGTGTGCAAGTGTGTGTGTAAATATTCCAAATGTTCATTTTATATGTTCAAAGGTTCTGCGTTTCTATTATATACTGGAATAAATCCTAGATTGTTAAAATTATCACTTTGTTATTGTATTTAGGATATCAGCGTCTTCATGAATGACAGAGATTGCTTTTTAAATATATTTTCTAGTACTTTTCTTCCCTGAATCCGGTGTTAAGATAGTAACTATATAAAGTAAATGTTGTATTGATCCTTTCTTCTATTCTCTTTCTATCCCTTGAATGTTTGGCAGAATTAAAGTATAAAATATGTGGGACAAGTTTATATAAATATCTTGGTGGGATATTTTCACTATTGGCTCAATTTATTTAATGAGTACATATTATTAATTTTCTATTTCTTCATATTTTTCTAGAAAACTATCCATTTCCTCTAAATTAACTGTATGCTATGAATCTCTTAGGGGGGAAATCTAAAAGGGAGTTATAGTAAGTTTTTTCATCCTTTTTATTTAAAGGATGTCCTAGGATGGAGAAACATTTGTTTGCTTAGGAAAGAAAGGTGATTTTGCATTATTCAGAGATTGATATTGAAGTTTATTTATTGGGCTTTGAATTTATAATCGTAATTTACCAGTATTATTTCTAAAACACATGGCATACTAGCACTCATGATTTATAGAGTTTGAATGTTTTGTTTCCTCTGGCTAAATATAAATTGATATTTGATCAAAGTGTGTCTGGGATTGCAATTAGATCTGTGTAGAAAATTACATAATTATGCAGACATAAATAAGAACATTTCAATCTGAATGAAATTATGAAGGTAGGTTTGCATGGATAAACCATTATAATTATGAACCTTTGACATGCCATAGTTGTTTTTACTGAGTTGCTGTCCCCCAAGGCCTTCTTAGGAAAACTAAGGAATGGTTTTGCCATGCAGAAAAAAAAGGGGAGATAGAAAATTTAATAATCTAAGACATTATTTAAGAAAAATAATATTTAGTGTTGTGGCAAATAATATTTAAAATTTTTCCTATACAATACTAAATTAGAAGAAAATGAGAAAATAAAGAAAAAAATGAGGGGAAAAAGTCATTGGATTTGTGGAAGAAAGTCTTGGGTTCCTGTAAGCTTTATGTTTCTTTATTCTCATTTGTAAAACAAAGTTGGGCTAAAAGATATTTATTATTACTTTATGTTTTGAAATTCTGTGACTCTATGAAATAATATTAAGTCAAAAATTAAGAACAAAATATATTTGGGTTTCCTATAGATCTTTGTAGAGCTTTGTTTTGTTTTGTTTTTGCCCTGTAGAAGAAAAAAATCAGTCTTAATGCAGAGAGTCTATGAAATAGGACGTAGGGATACTAGTGGATAAAATGTAGATACTCTAAAACTGCTAGGCCGCACATTGCAACAATTCCCTTATATAAAGTTCAGATTCACCTATCTTCCAAGGATTTTCTCCCTGGTTTCATTAAGAAAGTTTTTATTCTTCACTTTGAAGCCATTATCAGTTGGAAAACAATGCAGAGAATAGCTTAAAATTACATAGCCCTTACTGTTCCCTGTGGGTTCTCAATGTCTGTTTTCCTTCCTTTCTAGTTGTAAAATGTCCTGTGTTGCATGCCAGTTTTGCTGTGAATTCAGCTATGTCCACATATTGAAATCAGCAAAGCCTGACTCCACCGCCCAGGTCTCTTCACTGCTGTGCTGTTTAAGCCAGTACTCCTTCACTTCTGAATTTATTTCATCCTATTTGTGGTCTTTTAAGTGAAGACAAAAGTTACTTTCTACAGTGAAGTGCTTCCAGCCAATCTTGGATGTTTTAACCTCTAAGCAATTATACCCCTGTATGCCTTAAGAAGCAGTTCGGGTCTTTCAAATTGACAATCTGTAACAGATAACTTAAAAAAATAAACCTTTTCGTGGATTCCCTCTTCCACAAGTAATATAACTTTTTGATTTGTAAATCTCTAGGCCCTAAAATATTATGAAATATTTCCATGATGATCTCTGGGGTCAAAATAGAAAAGGTAACATTTGAAACAAAAAGTCATTGATGATATTTACTTCATGGTCCCCAAATAACATTCTTTTTGAATAACAAAAATATTTATCTATGAATAATGATGATAAGAAATTGGCTTAAATGTTAAACTTAGATCTGTACAAAAAGAATTAAGAGACATTAATCATATTGATCCTTACAAATGCTATAGATGTTTATATATTTTATTAAATACTTGAAATTTTAATCAGTTTCAAAACACCTTTTTATAAATTTGTGGTTTCACTTGAGCATTCTCATAATATATGTATAAAACTCTCATTTAATTTCAGCAGATTAAAATATATTCATGCAAAAAGATTCAAATAAACTATCCAAATCATTTACATAACAAATACTTCAGTGGCAGGACAAATTTAAGGCAGAGGGGTATCATATCATATCATGATAAAAGTTGCTTTTACAGATTATCTTATCTTTAAGGACGATTTATTCGGTTAGTGCAAAACTAATTGCCTTTTTTATCATCACTTTCAATGGCAAAAACCACAAATACTTTTGCACCAACCTAATAAAATCTGGACAACATAATGAGATTTTTTCTTTCATTTAAAATTTTGTTTTACTTAGCACAGGCCTGAAATACTTAGAAATCATCTTACTGCATTAAGAACCATATTGCTGGCCATAAGACATCAACTTGAATAAATTAGCTCATTTCTCTAGAGTTCCCTATATATTTACTCTCTAGAAGCTATAGGTTGTCGATTCACTGTGCTACGTGCATGAAATACAAAGGTAAATAAAGCATGTTCCCAGCCCTTGGGGAGTTTTCAATCACATAAGGATGACATACAAATTTAGAGATTTGTAGAGACAATGTAGTAAGTGCAATCATAAAGATATGCTGAAAGATGCTGCACTGTATTTCATAATCCACGCTTCAGGTTCCTTATTTGACAAAAAGGTGAACATTTTTCATAGCAATTTAGAAGGATTTACAAAAGTTAACACTGGATATTACATTTGGAAAAATATTCTTGAGAGAAGTAGAAAATGCTGTAATTTTGATTATTATAAACCACCACTCTACACTTACAGTAGAAAAATTCTTTAGTCAGATTCTCTGATTAGATAGGCTGGGCCTACACATTTATGCTCATTGTATCTCATGGGCCACAAACCAAAATTCTCTGATTATCACTGGCACTGGAATTGAAAAAAAAAATAGTAATAAAAGTTTATATAATTTATTTCAGAAAAACTCCAGGTGCCTCTCACTCTCATGGTGTCTTTTGTAGAGAAGGACTAAGTATTATTTCTGAGGCCTAATTATGCTTATTGTTGTTTTTGTTGACAAAATTATGGCTACGATGTTGAAATTTGAATTCTAATCTAGATGTACTGACATACTAAACACTCTCTATGCTTCTCTTTACTTAACCATATTTTGCTCACTTTATTGATCCAATATGTGATTGAAATATTTTGGGTATGCAAACGTTAAATATGAATATTTTTATTTTAAAACATTTTGATCACAAACTAATTAAAAAGCACAAAATTAGCTGAATTAAATTGGAATGTCAAATTTAATATAAAGGATAAATACATCATGACCATGTGAATTTTTCCCCCAAGGAAAAAACAATTCATGTAATTCATCATATTAACAGATTGAAAAGAAAAATTAATCAACAAAATCCACCTATTCCTTATAAAATCCTCTAGGAAACTAAAATAACTGCTAACTTCTTCAAATTGGTAAAGGGAATTTATAGAAAACCTACATCTAACATTAAGAGTCTAAAATGGGAAAAAGCGAATACCTCTCCCACAAATGGAAAAAAGATAAAGTTGTTCCCTCTCACAGCTTCTACTTAGCATTGTACAGAAAGTATTAACTATTTCAATAAAGAAAGGGGGAAAAATCAAATACATAGAAAAAAAGAGGAAAACTATCTTTACCTGCAGAAGAAATCATCTCTGTAGTAAATGTTAAGGACTGCACAAAAGAGCTATTTTCATGCTTAAATTTAGCTGTATGATTCATTTGAGTTCATTTTTAATATGGTGGGAGTTTTTTTTTAACTTGGATCTATTATATATGAGATATTTCTGGACTTTCAGTTTAATTCCATTTTTCTATATGCTTATTGCTTATATTTTTTGTCAATATTACACTGTGCTGATTACTATAGTTTTATAAGAAGTTTGAAATTGGGTGGCATAATATGGGTTGCCTTAAGGCATAAGATACAGTTTTGATATTGTATCAAAAGTTATTAATATATAAAAATTATTGTATTTTTATAGCTAGAAGTGGGATATTAGAAGTGAAATTCAGTTTAAAGAAAACACCATTTACAATACCTTTTAAATTAGCATCAAAGACCAGTACCTTTAAAATTATGAAACATTGCACAAAGAAATTAAAGAAGAGTTAAGTTAATGGGAAAATACTCTGTGCTCATTTCTCGAAGACTTGGTTTGTTTAAAATGTAATTTCTCCCTAAAATGTTCTATAGATTTCTTGAAATCCCAATCAAAATCACAGCCGGCTTTCTTAAAGTATAAAATAACTTATATATGTGAAAAGATGAAGAGCATAGGATAAACAAAACAATTTTTCAAAGGAGGAAAAAAATGGAGAACTTATGCCACGCAATTTCAAACTTCTTATAAAACTATAGTAATCAGCACAGTGTAATATTGACAAAAAATATAAGCAATAAGCATATAGAAAAATGGAATTAAATTGAAAGTCCAGAAATATCTCATATATAAATAGATCCAAGTTAAAAAAACTCCCATCATATTAAAAATGAACCCAAATGAATCATACAGCTAAATTTAAGCATGAAAATTTGAATAACATAGAAAAAATATTTAGTGATTTTAGGTTAGGCCAAATTCCTTTGCTACAAATAATGGAATTATAAAATAAAAATAGTAAGGTTTCAAGAAAATTAGAACTCTTTGCTCTAATAAACACACTAATAGGAAAATGAAGACACAAATCACAGAGTCGAAAAAATATTGGCAAAAAGTATATACAATAATGAATTTGTATGCAAAATATATTAAAACATTTTTACAGCTCAGTAATACGACAAGCAACCTAATAAAGTAAAAGGAACAAATTAGGTACATAAATAGAAAAGAAACACATGAAAAGATTCATAAAATTATTGCTATTAAAACAATGCAAATTAAACAGTAACAATAATTTGGGAGTGCCTACTCACTAGAATTGTTAAAATTGAGAAGACTGACAATATCAAGCAGTGTCAAAGATGTGAAAAAACTGGAAATTGCATACATTGTTAGTGAAAATGCAAGATGACACAACTTTGTAAAAAAAAATCTGTTTCTTATAAAGTGAAAAATCCATTGTAATTGTAGTTAATGTATAACTGATGGGTATACAAAATACCATAAAAGTAAAGGTGACCTAAAACAAGAAAAGTAATTGTAGGCCCATTCCATGCTTACGTTTATAATCAGTAGGTGCCCTTCCTTCCAGCAACTCAGGAACTTGGCTGTTTTCCATCTGTTGGATCTGCCAGTGTCTAGGGCTTTTGTATCCTACACTGATCCTGTGCATTCAGGCAACATATGAAGGAAGAAAAAGTGTGACAGATTGCTTCTGCGATCATTTTATTTACTTGATGATATGATAGGACCTAACTACAAGGGATGCTAGAAAAATGTAATGTAACCATGTTCCCATGATGTAGAGGAAGAGTTTTGATGAATCCTTCACAGTATACATCACTATTATAAAATGTACATAATCTCCAAATAGAAATATACCCAAGGAATCATTTTCTTTTATTTTCCTAATGCACAAATATCACCCAGTTAGATGCTGCATTATAGAGATTATAGAAAATAACATAAAGACATATTTTATGTGACAAAGGCCAATTTTCACTTCTGGATCACAAGTAATTAGCTATACAACTGGATTTCTAACTACCGTTAGAAATCAATAAATTGCTGTGTTTCTTATGACCATCTGTCAATCTTTAGTAATCATATGCATTACTTCTGAGTCACACCAGGCTAAATTCTAAGCCAGCAACTGAGTTAAGAGTTAGATATGAGAAGGGAAAATAAATGGTTTTCTTTTTATAGCATAATTCATATCCTTAAATATAAAATAGTTGCAAAAGGGAAAAATTATGAGTAGCTATGTTTAAAAAAGCCTATATATACATGAAAGCTTTTATGTGCTTTTCAAAAATTTTTATAAAAATATATAAATAGGCCGGGCATGGTGGCTCACGCCTGTAATCCCAGCACTTTGGGAGGCTAGGGCAGGTGGATCACAAAGTCAGGAGATCGAGACCATCTTGCCTAACATGGTGAAACCCCGTCTCTACTAAAAATACAAAAAATTAGCCGGGCGTGGTGGCGGACACCTGTAGTCCCAGCTACTCGGGAGGCTGAGGCAGGAGAATGGCGTGAACCCGGGAGGCAGAGCTTGCAGTGAGCTGAGATTGTGCCACTGCACTCCAGCCTGGGCGACAGAGCGAGACTCCAAAAAAAAAAATTATATATATATATATAAAATTTTATATATATATAATTTTAAAGAGAGAAGTCACTGTTACTTAACTTAAAATTTTAGGAAGCATTTTAAAAAGTTTTTATTTCCAGATATTTGTAGATTCACGTGCAGTCATAAAAACGATACAGAGAGATCTCAAATATTCTTTACCTGGTTCTCCCAGTGGTAACATCTTGCAAAACTATAGTGCAGTACCACAACCAGGATTCTTCATGTTGCATATTTACATGATAGCTACATTCTCTTCCATCCCTCCCTACCCTTTCTCTTGCAACCACTAACCTGTCTTCAATTTCTAAATTTTGTTGTTTCAAGATAGTTATGTAAATGGAACTATATAATATGTAACAGTTGGCATTTTTTTCACTCAGCATAATTCCATAGAGATAAAGAGATACAAAACAAGACAAGACAAGACAATACAGAGATGCAATACAAGACGACAAATCAATAGATAAAATGGCAACCCTAAATTATATGTCCTCAGTGAAATGTCTTTAAAATACTTTAAACAATAATGGACAAAATGGAAGGAGAAATAGACAAATCTACAATCATGTTCAAAGCTTTTAAAACACTTGTTTTATTTTAGTTACTAAGGCAGCAAACAAGCAAAAAAATAGAATATGGGAGATTTGCAATTAATAAACGATGTAATTGATACTTTTAGAATGTACATACAACAACTGCAGAATACATATTCTTTTCAGGTGAATATAAAACAGCCACAAAATAGAATATGTCTTGGTCTTCAAAGGAATTAAACTATTACAAAAAGTGGAAATCATTCAGTATTTTCTCTCACTTCATTGGAATTAAAAGAGAAATTAATAATTAAAAGTTAATTAGAAACTGCTTAAATATGTGAAAATTAAGCAACAAACATAAAATAGCCTATGATTCTAAGAATTAGAAAAGAGAAATTTTTTATGATAATTAAAAGGTGACAATAACATTTTGAGATTAAGCTAAAGGAGTTGCTGAAAGGGAAATTTATACATACAAATACACAAATCAGAAAAATAGAAAAGTTTAAAATCAACCTTGTTTAACTAAAGGAGATACAAAATTATAAAATTATTTTAGATAAAGTCTGGAAAAAGTAAACAATAAATATGTGAATAGAGATCAATTAACTGTGATTTCTACTTCTGGTCATGTTATTGACCTTCTGTTATAAAAACTCGGCACTATGTATAAGAAAGCAGTTTTTTGGCATCAGGCTACATGCAGCATAGAACTATGATTCCAGAATAACATGGAATCAAATTAGGTAACTAGGCTCTTCTTCTGTGGAAGTACATTCTGGACAGTAAAGTGAGAAGACTGAACCAAGTAAAGTGTCTTGGTATTGCACAGTTGATTCAAACAGACCAGAGTTTGAGGATGGGGGAGCTTGAATTTATAGGGAAGAATATGGGAAAGGCGGGAGCTACTCTGAGATGCAGCTTCAGACATCTGCATAAGGATCTGCTTAAATCTGTTACAAAAGAAGTATCTATGCAAGTGTAATTTGAAATCCAGCAGGCCAGGCAGATTATTTCTGAGGAGCTATGAGCTCAACAATTGTAAGAGCCTCCCAGACCTGGCAGACTCTTGAGTTCCAGTAAATCATTGTGGAGAGGCCTCATGAAACACCCAGGCTGTTCAACAGGGACTCCAGCTAACTCAGGTCTTAGCAGAGCTAGACTAGCCCTGGAGAAAAGGCTACTTTAAACCTTCCCTAACAAAGTTTGAAAACAAAGCTTATAATTATTGAATGGATCCACGAGTTACTTAACTCTCTTTCCAAACAAATTCAATATTCTTTAAAAGAAGACCATAAAATCCAAGTGTTAAAGTTAATGAAGCAGGAACACGGGATCATAACCAGGAGAAAGATCAGACAACAGAAATAGGTCAGAGAGGATAGAGTTGATGGGATTTTAAAATAAGGACTCTAAAAGAATTAATATTTAATATAAACATGCACAAGTATTTGGAGGACAAAAACATGAATATGTTGGAAAGGCAAATAGAACATTTTGTAAAATCCTATGACAGATGAAAAATATAATCTCTCAAATGAAAACCTCAACTGATGAAATTAATAATACATAAAACAGAATAAGAAAAAGAAAGATGTTTGAGCTTAAAAACATAGAAAATATCCAAAACGAATCACAGACAGTAAAATACTGAAAAAAGTTAACAATGATCTCATATTAGTCTGTTTAATACAATCACACATTGCTTAATGAAGGGATATGTTCTGAGAAATGCGTCCTTACGCGATTTTGTCGCTGTATAAAGACTGTGCACTCAGGCTACAATAAATTTGCAAATAATATTGTTTTCTTCAATAATAAATTAACAATAGCTTACTGTAACATTTTGACTTTATAAACTTTTCAATTTTTTTAAATTTTTGACTCTTCGATACTACTTAAAACACACATGTAGAATGAGACAAAATGTTTTATTTCTTCAAATCTTTATTCTATAAGCATTTATTAATTTTAAAATTTCTTTAATTTTGTTTTTACTTGTTAAACATTTTTGTTAAAAACTAAGACAGAAACACGCATATTAGCCTAGGCCTACACAGTATCAGAATCATCAAGATGTCACTAGGTGATAAAAATTTTTCATCTCTATTATAATCTTATGGGACAATCTGCATATGTGTGGCCTGTCATTGACCAAAACATGTGGCATATGACTGCCTATGTGAAATTTGAGTCACAGTGAGTGTGTTAAAAAAAAAGCACTTAAAGATATATTGTAAATTTTTACCAAATTTGATGAAAACGAGAAATCTTGACGTCGATGAACATCGAATAGATTAAACGCAAGGGAAACTATGGCAAGGTACATTATTATCAAATTGTGTAAAAACAAGTAAAAAAAAATCAAATTGTGTAAAAACAAGTAAAAGCCAGAGATGAACAAAAAAAAATAGAGAAATAAATTTAAAAATAAGAAACAAAACAAGCCAGAATATTATGGAATATTTTGAAAGTGCTAGAAGAAAAGACCTGCTACCTCAACATTGTATATTGACATAATATATCCTTCAAAATTAAAGGAGGCTTAAATACATTTTATTTAAACAAAACTTTTTTTAGAATGGGTCACTAGCAAATCTAAACAACAATAAATAAAATAAGAATTTCTTTAGGGAAAAGAAAAGCATATCAAGTGGAAACTTGGAAGGGTGTGGGAACAACAAATATTTAGATAAAAAATGTACTTCTCATTAAAAAATGTATCACAAAGCACTGTTTAAAAATAAGATCAATTAGAATATATTGGGAGGTTTGTAACATACATGAAAATAAAAATATTTGAGAAAACAGCACAAAGAATGGGGTGAGAAGTATCCTGGTGTAAAGCTCTTACACATTGTGCTTGAATTGGTATAACATTACATGGAGGTCAGCTATAATAAATTAAAGCTGCATTTTGAAACTCTTATGTATAGGTATAGAAACTTTTCCATAAAGGGTCAGATAGTAAATATTTTAAACTTGCGGGCCATCCATTCTCTGCATCGGCTTCTCAACTATGGCATCAAATAGCAGCCTTAGACAATTACACTGACAAGGTAAAGGAATGTGTTTGGCATGTTCCATTAAAACTTAGTTTGTAAATAAGTGATACCTCAAGGCCATAATGTCCAACCACTGCTGTAAAGTAATGACTAAAAATTTCAAACAAATGTTTGAAATTATAAATCAACAAAAGAGATTAAAATTATAAATTTAATTCATAAAATGTAACAAATGTTAAATCAGATTAAAGGGTACAAGCAGTAAATGAATAGACTTAAATCCTATAATATTGATGGCTTTATTACACGTAAATGACCGAAATACTCAAATTAAAAGGTAGAGATTATCAGACTGAATAAAGAAACAAGGCCCAATCATACTGTCTACAAAAAAAAATCTCATTTTAAATATAAGGATATAGAGAGGTTAAAAATGAAAGCATGAAATACCTAATAAAAAGAAATTACAATGCCAGTTCCCATATTAATTTCAGGCAAAATAATATTTAAACAAAGAGCATTGCCAATGATATAAATATTTCCTAATTATAAAGGAGTCAGTTTATCCTGAAGACAAAACAATTCTAAGTATGTGTAAATGCATGTAATAACTAAACTTCAAACCATTTGAAACAAAAAGAACTGAAAGAAAAAGGGACAAATATGAAATTAGATTTGGAAATCTTAATAGTCTTTTCCCAGTACTCAATAGTATAACAAAAGTGAAATTTATTACGCTTATAGGAGATTTGAACAATACTACTATGATTGATATTTACAGGACACTTCATCCAATGAAACCAGAATACATATTCTCTCCATATGCACATAAGACATTTGCCAGAAAACCCAAAAAACGAACAAACAAAACATAAGATGAGCAAAAACAAGTTTTCCCCTGCATAAGTTTCAAATCATAAACAGTGTGTTGTCCAGTTAATAGTTAAATTAATACTCAATAAGAAAGAAATCTTATTTGAGGAAAAATCATCAAATAGTTGGAGATTAAATAATACATTTCTAAATAGCATATGACCAAAAATCAAGTAACAAGGGTAATTAGAAAATAATTTGAAATAAAATTAAAAACAATTACATAACATATCAAAAATCATGAGGTATAGCTACAACAGGGCTTAGAAAATTTTTTATAACTTTAGATGCTTATATTTGACAAGAATAAAATGATCTAAAATCAGTAATGTAAATTTTCACCATAAGGAGATAGAGAATGTAGTGCAAATTAATCTCTTAATAATAAAAAAAATTTAGAGATGAGTAGAATTTAATAAAATAGGGATGGAAAAATAATAATCAAAACCAGAAGCTCTTCTGTTTCTTAAAGATTAATAAAATTGATAAACTTCTTGATCATGAACAAAGGAGGAAATCACACACTGCCAATATTAGGAACAGCTATTACAAATATTAAGTGTATAAAAATGAAACCCAGTTGATCCTTGAACAACATGAGGATAAGGGAAGCCAATATGTCACGCAGTTGAAAATTCATATATAACTTTTGACTCCCCAAAATTTTAGCTACTTGACTGGAAGCCTTACCAATAACACAGACAGTTGATAGACACATAATTCATTTATTACATGTATTATATACTATATTCATGTATTACATACTATATTCTTACTATAAAGTAAGGTCGAGAAAAGAAGATATTAAGAAATAAAGAAGAAAAAATACATTTACCATTAATTAAGTGGAAGTAGATCATCACAAAGGTCTTCATCTTGTTGTCTTCATGTTGAGTGGGTTGAGGAGAGAAAGAGGAGAGGTTGGTATTGTCTCAGGGATGGCAGAGGCAGAAAAGGTGGAGAGGGTGGAAGGGGAGGAATGAGAGGTAGAAGAGGCAGGCATACTCTTTACAGAACTTTAAGAAATTGCATTGCAATTTCTGACTCTTTGTTTTTTCATTTCTCTAAAAATGTTTCTATTTGGTACCAATCTTTCTTCTATTGGTGGTTTAGTTTGAGTGCCCCTGTCTTAGAAGGGTCCATGTCATAAGAGACATCAAAAGCAGTCACGAAAAATCAGAACTCTTCTGCAAGATTGCCTGAAGTGAATTTGTTTTCCGGCACTGTTTCTTCTGCATCTTCTTCCTCATCATTTGGCACTGATTTGGAAGCACTCACCTCCATCATGTTATCATCTGTTATTTACACTGTTGTGGTGTCTATTAGCGCTTGAATTTCTCCAAGATCCATATTCTGACACCCTTCATCTCTCACCTTTTATTTTTTTTGCCATATCCACAATCTTTTTCATAATTTCTTTGATTGGCTCTGTTTTAAATCCTATGTCATGCACAACATCTGGACAGAAATTTATTGTTTTGGGATTGATGGCTTTCATGACATTTTCTATAACAACAATGGCATATTCAATGCTGTAATTCTTCCAGACTTTCATGATGTTATTCTCTATTGGGGTTCTCTTCCATAACATCGATGATCCTTTCCATAGAGTGTCATGTGTAATAAGCTTTAAAGGTCCTTATGACCCCCTGATCTAAGGCTGAATTAGAGATGTATTTGACACAGATAGATGACTTCCATGCTTTCAGTGTTGAATTCATGGTGTTCTGCCCTGCCAGGGGCATTGTCCTATACTAAAAGAACTTTAAAATACAGTCCCTTACTGACAAGGTAGTCCTTGACTTCTGGGACAAAGCACCACCAAAACCAATCCAGAAGAAGCATTTCCATTGTCAAGGCCTTATAAATGTACAACCACATAACTATCAGCCGACATCTGTCTATCCCTTCAAAAGTCAGGTGTTAGCAGCTTTATAGATAAAGGTAGTTGTGATCATATATCCAACTGCATTTGCACAAAACAACAGAGTAAGCCTATCCCTTCCTGCCTGAAATCCTGGTGCGCAACTCTCTTCCTTACTATTAAATACCATTCAGGGCATTTTTTCCTAGAATACAGCACTTTCATCTGCATTAAAAACCTGTTCATACACATATCTTTTTTTCTCAATGATTTTCTTAATGTCACTTGGAAACTCTTCTGCTGTCTCTTGGTCTGAAGAAGCTGTTTCTCCTGTTACCTTGACATTGCTTAAGCAAAACGTCTTTAAAAAATTATCACACTATACTTTGCTGACATTAAATTCTCCAGCTTTAGATCTTTTACCATCCTTCTGCTTTGAATTGTCTTATAATGACTTTGCCTTTTCTTGAGTCATATTACAGTCTATAGTTATGTCTTTCTTACAGCAAACCTGCACCCACATAAAAGCTGCATTTTTAATACAAGATTTAAAAAGTATTTTTCAAAAAGTGTAAGATTTTTGTGCCTGCTGGTGCAGCTGTACTGATGGCTTCACAAATGTCCTTTCTTTTCTATAATGACTTTTACATGGAATTAATTTTCTGGAAATGGCGGGTAACCACAGCTGCAGACTTCAGCCCATGGTACATATTAAGCAAATCAACTTTTTCTTGTAATGTCATGACTTTTCTCTGCTCCTTGGGAATATTTCCAGCATCACTATTAGCACTTCATATGGGTCCCATTCTGTTACTCAAGATTTACGATATTACACTAAAAATGATTTTTTTAATACATGAGAAAAATGAGATACAACTTTTTACAGACATACAGTTTACTGGAGAAATGAACTGTTCATGCAGAGATGACTAGCACCACAGGCATTTTAAGCAGATACTAGCAATCATAGCAGCAGGCAATAGACAAATTCCTAGGGAGACAGGGATGGGTCCCTAGTGAAATCTGACCTTCAAACCAAAATCAGCTTGAAGCCTGAAAACCAAGCTGCCAGTTACAGGTGGAGTCAGTGACTGGAGTGAAAACTTCCTCAATGCCTTTTAGCCAATCAAATCATGCTTTTTCGAGGCCTACCCATAGAACAATCAGCATGCACTCCCCTATTTTGAGCCCATAAAAATCCTGGACTCAACCTCACAGATGGCTAACCACTTTCAGGCCCCCTCTCACACAGAGGGCTTTCAGGTCCCCTCTTGCTGCCGAGAGCTTTTCTGTCACTCAATAAAATTCTCCTCTGCCTTGTGAACCCTCTGGTTGCCACGTACCTCATTCCTCTTGGTTGTGGGACAATAACTCAGAACTCACTGCATCGTGGGTGCAAAAAAAAGCTGTAAAATTCTTGCTCACCAGGCTATGGGAGTGAAAAAACCTAACCCATTGGGCACCACACACTCTTGTTTGCCGAGCTGCGGGTGAGCTGCGGGCGAGCTGCGGGCGAGCTGCGGGCAGCAGGAACAAATGAGAGCTGTAACACTTCATGGAGGCTCAAACCTCAGGACTCGCCAAGCAAAAGCTGTAACACCTCTTGGGGATCCGTGTTTGCTAGCATCTCGGAGTTGTTGGGTGCTGCCGAATCCCCCTCATCCAGACACTGGCACTCAAGGTGGAACCATTCATGGCATGCATGGACCAGCTGTGGGCTGAGTGCAGTGCTGCAACAAGTACAGGATCCTGGCTGGCAGCACAAGCCAAGTGCAGCCTGCCAGGCTGATTGGATGGAGCAAGCCCAGAAGGTCCAAGGAAAGCCCAGGCAGGGGCACTGCTGGCTGCCTGAGATTTCCAGCTGAAAAGCAGCATCAAAAGAATCCTGTGTCAGTCAGTCGCGGTGGCCCACGCCTGTAATCCCAGCACTTTGGGAGGCTGAGGCGGGTGGATCATGAGGTCAGGAGTTCAAGACTAGCCTGGCCAAGATGGTGAAACCCTGTCTCTACTAAAATATGAAAAATTTAGCTGGGCATGGTGGCGGGCACCTGTAATCCCAGCTACTCAGGAGGCTGAGGCAGGGAATTGCTTGAATCAAGGAGGTGGAGGTTGCAGTGAGCGGAGATAATGCCACTGAGCTGAGACAGTGCCACCGCACTTCAGCCTGGGCGACAGAGTGAGACTCCATCTCGGGAAAACAAAAAACAAAACAAAACAAAACAAAAGAATCCTGTGTCATTTCTGGGGGCTTTTCCAGGATTGTCAGAAGAGTAAGAGTGAACCTCTCTCATTTTTATTTCTGAAGCTTCTTGTCCTAAGAATTTTTTTTCCCCAAAAACAGATAAAGCACCGGGCTCTGTCAGCCAGTTAAGAGCTAATGGCACAGGTGCAGAACACAAGCCTGCTGGGGAGAACTTTGTCAACACTCCGCCATTGCCCTTGGGTGTTGGGAATGTTGGCTTTGTTTCAATCCAGCTTCCCTTCACGGAGGTCTAGCCATCTGTGGGAGGGGAAGGAGGTCCTGGGGCAATTGCGGGTATTGGGCTGAAGTTATACCTTGGTGTTATCCAAAGCCCCTGGACTGGCTCCAGTCCCCGACAGCCCACTAGGGTGTTGGCACTAGGACCTCCAGTCTTTTCTATGTCATTTTTATCCTTTCTTTTGAGGCTGTCATAGCTCCTATCTCTTTTTTATATTCAATGATAAGTGTTTTGTTGCAAACCAGAGAGAGAAATAATGTAACTGAGCACTTGGCTCAGTCATTAGGAGTATGATTTAGAACAACGTGGTTTCTGTCTATTCTTTGAAGCAAGGAGTATGCCATGATTGAGAGGTTTCTTTTCCCTGCTGAAGAAACCCAAAAGCATAGGACAATAGGCTGTTTCCTCTAGGCACGTTCCATCCCCTGCATTTAAGTTTTTTTTCCAACATGTCAGGAGTCAACATAGTCCTGTGAATACAGCAGGCTTTTCTATGCAAGGGATTAGTTTTTTTCCTCTTTGGAGGCATCTTATTAGGCCAGATCCCCAATTCCAGAGACTCCTTTTCTTTCCTTTGTTTGAGGAGGATCTGGCTTCACAATGTCACTTTAGCATCACTGCAGTGTATTTTCCAAGCTTTCGTTTGGAACCTTAGAAAGAAAACTAGATCCGAGGGACCCAGAAGCAGTTGACAGCAGAAAGGTAGGGCACGCGCAACTATCCCTACCGATTAGGCCTTACTGCTCATGGGTGGAGGACGCACTCGCATTCATAGGTGGCACCTCTAGTGGCCACCAGGACTCAGGAAAGGAAAAGAGGGAAGAAAGGAAGGGATACCTTTTTTTCTCTCCCTCACATACCACAGGTTTTCACTGGAAGAGAGAAAGGAATGAAGGGATGCCTTTCCCCCCGTCTCTCAGATGGGTAATGATATGGTTTGGCTGTGTCCCCACCCAAATCTCATCTTGAATTCCCACGTGTTGTGGGAGGGACCCAGTAGGAGGTAATGAATCATGGGGGCAGGTGTTTCCATGCTGTTCTCGTGATAGTGATTAAGTCTCAGGAGATCTGATGGTTTTAAAAAGGGGGAGTTTCCCTGCACAACCTCTCTTCTCCTGTCTGCTGCCACATGAGACATGCCTTTCGCCTTCCACCATGACTGTGAGGCCTTCCCGGTCATGGGAACTGTAAGTCCATTAAAACTCTTTCTTTGTAAATTGCCCAGTCTCAGATATATCTTTATCAGCCGTGTGAAAATGGACTAATAGAGGTAACAAACCATCTTTAGCCTTTACACTCCTCTTGAGTGCATCTTGAATCGCTGAAACTCATTTGAGCCTCAGACACTGGGAAAACAAACAAACAAAAACAAAAAATGAAACAAAGAAAGCACCTCATATTCCTTTGCCCAAAAGTTTCGCTGAATTATGATTTGCAGGAAGGACAGGCCCGGCCTCTGGAGGGAAGCATTAATTTCAAAGCTCTCCTGCATCTGGACCTTTTCTGTAAACATGGAGGAAAATGGTCTGAGGTCCCATATGTGCAGGCTTTCTTTGCCTTGCAAGGTAATCCTGACCTTCACCAGGGTTGTAGGATTGATTCAGCCCTCCTAGCAGCCATCTCAGGAGAGGCTGCAAGGGCAATTCTAAGGGACTAAGGAAGCAAACCTCAGAGGTCCCTCCAGTGGGAGATTCAGCTCCCTCCAGTCCTGCTCCTCCTGGTCCACCCCATCCTCCCTATCCAAGTTCTCTCTCAAGCTTGCCGCATCCTAGAAATCCTCATATTAGGCACATTCTAGTCTCACTCCTGCCCCTATAAGAAATGCCTGGGGAATATGGTCCCATTAAGGTACAGGTTTCCTTTTCCTTACAGGACGTAAGGCAAATTAAGCAAGTTATCAGATGACCCTGACAGTTAGATAGAAGCTTTCCAGAACTTAACCCAAATATTTGAACTCCCATGGAAGGATATTATGTTACTTTTGAATCAAATCCTGATGACCACTGAGAAGCAGGCTGCCCTACAAGTGGCAAAGAATCTGGGGATGAGCTTTGTATCTCATAAAGTATCAGGGAAGGGGGTGAGTTGTATCTCATAAAGTATCAGGGAAAGGGGTGAGTCATAAAATATCAGGGAAGGGGGTGAGTTGGAAGGATAGCAGTAGCATTGGAGGACCCTAAATGGGACCCCAGTGATGAAATGGGGGAATGGAGGAGAAAACACTTCCAGGTGTGCATATTGGAGGGCTTCCAAAGGACTAGAAGTAAGCCTCCCAATTACTCCAAACTATCCATTACAGACCAGGGATTAGATGAAAATCCCTCTGCTTTCCTGGAAAGGCTAAGAGGGGCCTTGGTAAAGCATACCTCTCTACCTCCTCATTCTGTCAAGGGACAACTATTCCTAAAGGATATGTTTATTACTCAGGCAGCCCCTGATATCAGGAGGAAGCATAAACAGGCCAGGGGACAAGGCAGTACTTTAAAGAACCTCCCGAAAGTGGACACCTTGGTCTTTTACAATAGGGATCAGGAGGAGGCCTGAGAGAGGAGATATGAGAAAAAGGCAGAGGCTCTAATCGCCACCTTGCAGGCTCACAAGCCCCAGAATCACTGAGATGCACCTGTTAACTGCTACAAATATGGCAAGCCAGAGCACTTTAGGAAGGACTTCCCAGGCAGCCTGAGGAAGCCACTTTGACCCTGTTAAATCTGCAATGGGGATAACTGAATGGTGGACTGTCCCTGGAAATGCAGGTCACCAAGTCCAGAGCTAGTCTCCCAAATTGTCCATCAGGATTGATGGGTCCTGGGACCGCTCTCTCCAGCTCCAGTGGTTCAGACCACCATTACCATCCAGGAGCCCTAGCTGATTCTGAACATCAAAGGGAGGAAGGTAGAACTCCTCCTTCATACCTGAGCAGCCATTTGTCTACTCCTTTCCAATCTGGGCCTCCCCTCCTCTCTTAGCATAGCCATGAGGGATGTCTTAGGAAAGCCTTTAACCCAATATTCTTCCCCACCCCTTAGTTGTAACTGGGGAGACCTCTTGTTTACCCACACCTTTCTAATCATGTCTGAAAGCCCAACTCTTCTGTTGATCAGGGATATTCTGGCCCATATGGGGACTACCATCCTTATGGCTCCAGGATAGACTCTGTCTCCTTCTAGGGAAGACTGATATTAACCCAGAAGTTTGGGCTATTCAAGGGGAAATTGTCCAAACCACAACCACCATACCAGTCTGAATCCTCCTTAAGAATACCACCTCCTTCCCTAACCAGAGACAATATTCTTTAAAACCAGAAGTTAGGAAATGACTAGAAGCTATCATTGATAACTTGAAGATGTAGGGCTTCCTCAAACCCTGCAATGGCCCTTGTAATACTTCAATATGGCGGGGGCAGGTATAAAAACTCAATGGAGAATGGAGGAGTGATTTTTCTACCACACTTAGGAAGTTGTAGATAAATAAGCCAGAACTGATCAGTGAAACAATTCACATATCCTGGGAGTATCACCAAGGAATTTAGATAATAAAAGTTAAGTTTGTAACTATATTTGTATTTGTCCATTTGTATATTTGCTAGGATAAGGCAGACTGCATTGACACCAAATATGTAGTTGTTCCACATCATGGAAGTTTATTTCTTGATTATGCAGCAGACATAGGCAGTTATGTTTGCAACAAATATCAAGGATTATGTGTACATTAGTTCTGGTATAGACCTAAACATGTTGGTCCATAAAAAATCCTTCAATATATAGAAGCATTTTTCTTTACTATCTAAAAGATCAGGATAGTCCCAGATTTACTGGAACTCTGGATCTTCAACGTGTATGCTCTTGGTCATTTATGAGTTGTTTCCATCTCAGTCCATCGAAAGAAAAAGAAATGGAGACGCGCACACTAGACAGACTTAGAAACAGACCTGAGAGTGGCACAATGCAGTTTTGTTCACAAAGTATTGATTAGAAATCACTGGTGTAACTGCATCTAAGTGCAAAGGAGAATGAGAAACATGATTTAAGTGTGCGTGTAGCAAGAAATGGAAATGGATTTTTATGAATAGCTAGAAGCGCAGCCAAAATGTAAAAGAAGTGTTGTGTGTTTGGAGATTTTAAGGACAGCTCATACTGGAAGACATAAAAGCTGCAGCATATAGCTTAGGAAAGGTAGGGAATGCACACATAATCAGTTGATAACAAATGACTATAAAAGAATTTACTAAGGAGCCCAAGAAGGAATAGGGCTTGCGGGGGCAATAGTCAGGTAGAATTATGTAGCATTTAAAATGTATAGAGACTATTGAATACTTAAGCACAATGTATACAACAACAGCAAAAGTATTGGGAATTGTTGATGTCCATATGTCGTTGCTTGCTGTCAAGTAGATTTTTCTCAAAAAGTGCAAGCTTTAAAGATGTAATCTTTTAGATCTGTCCACACCTTTGTATTAAACTGCACGTGACTTCTTTGCAGTTTTCTGTTATAGAGAACAACCTTTCCTAATAGGAAATAACTCAGTAAGCCAGGAGTGTGTTATGTGCTCTATCCATATTTAAAGTTGATGGTATTTTCCCTGTATAAAATTGTGTTTTATCTGGAAGCATTCTTTATTACAACATCATCCAACTGTGGTCTAGATTTTGGAAAAGTAAAAGTCATAGCATTCTGTCGTGATTCCCATGAGACATTCCATCTTCTTGTTCATATTAAGTTATAGTTGGTTAAATTGAGACCACTCCCCTTTAAATTTATTGATGTCCTAACCCCTAATACCTCAGAAAAATAAACTTATATGGAAATAATATCACTGTAGATGTAATTATTTAAGTTAAGATGAGGTCTTACTGAAGTAGGGTAGTCTTCTAATCCAATATGACTGGTTATTTTACATAAGGAGAAATTTGAACAGAGATAAACACACTGGGGAAATGTCATGTGAAGATTGGAATTACACTGCCACAAGCCATGGAATGACCAGAAGCCACGAGACACCCCCAGAACAGAGTCTTTCCTAGACCTTTTAGAGGTAATAGGGCTCTGCTGACACGTTGATCTCAGATGGAAACTGTGAGACAATAAATTTCTGTTTCTTGAGCCTCCCATTTTGTGAGGTTTTGTTACAACAGCTTCAGGAAACTAATACTCATGGACGCTAGAGCTTGCACCGCTCAAAAAAGGTGTATTTACCTTCTGTACATAAGGGATTTTTAATCAGATTTCAAATCACTACAAGGATTGCATTTTTTTCTACAGTGGAGTGGATTTCTACAAATGTAATAGTCATCTAAATTGTTGTATTATTCTCATATCCAGTGATTGTTTTCTGGGTGATAAAATATACCCAATATATTCAATGACCACCTGTAGGTAGTATGCCTTCTTCCATGCATTACTTTTTCTTAAATAATGTTATTTCTTTTAAATATTCTTCCCTGAAAGCATTTATTTCTAATGTAGAAAGCATGTGCCATAGCCGATGAATTGCCATACTGCTTTTTCACAGTTGTATCCCTCTTCCCTCAGTGACTGCATTATAATTTTATCCTTTTGCAAAGCGTTATAGAAAATCTCAACTTCTATGACAATGCAAGATTTTCAGAATAAAAAAAACTTAGATTTCAAATAAAAAGATTCTTGAACACTCTCAAAATATTTACCAAAGGAAAAAGAAAAATGTAGGAATTCTGAAATTTTAATTGCAATTACTATATTCTGAAAGTTTACACATATGTATGCATTCTGGAAAGAAGCATACCCCATGCCCCATAGTCAATAAATGGCACCTAAAGTATCGTTCACATTTGGTTTTTGGTTCTGTGTTGCTCCATTATATGTTCCTTTGAATTATGTCAAAAGGCGATGAGCAAGTCAAAGATGTTAGCAGGGCATTTTATGGTTTAATGACTCGTAAATACGAGTCAAGGCAAAGAAAGTCTTATTTTTCTCTAAAACAACATTTTCAATAAGTTATTTCCACCAAAGATGCTAACTCTATATTTAAGCCTAGTGTCGAAGGAAATTAGTAAGATACTGCCTGATTGGGCTAAGAGACAGGTGAATCCCTGGGGTAGGCCAGGTAAGGAACAAATATGCAGTCAGCATCTGCTGCCATGGTAATGCCAAGCCTGAGTTCCTTCTTAAAGCTGAAGAACCTTTGCTGGTTCCTTCAAATACCAAGCCTGAGTATGTACACTTTTCTTAATTAATACCTTACGCAAGTGTCCTGGAATAAAAATAACCCTTGATTCTGTCTCACAAACATACCACTGAAGCAAGAATGTGATTCAATGCCCAGAACTGCATACTTTCCTTAACTGCTAGACAGTCCTGTAGTCAATTTAAATTTCAAATACAGTCTCGATGATTAAAGGATGAAACGCACCTCTGTCAAGATGAAAATCAATCCTTACCTTCATTCAAAATTAAGACTCTCCTGCACTTCCCCTTGCTTAAGGCTGCAGTTAGTGGCAGCCTGACTTTAGAGAAAGAGTTTATGGATTCTTCATTTTGCTTCTTCACCTTAAACTTCTCCAACCCACCCCCAGCTTGCTACACAATTTCTGATCCTTTTTGAGTCTGGCGAAGCTTGGGAGTGGGGATCAAGAATGGTAAAAAGAGTTGCAACAGAATAAGAAATGTCTCACCTGAACTAGTGTTTTCCTAAAGAGCTGAGCCCACTTTCTTAGGCAGCACTTTTTACCTCTCCAGCGAACTCTATCCCTGGAGATCTCTTTCCTGCATTGGCTCAACTGGATGCATTTCAACCCAGGACGTTCACATGGAACATCTCATATAATCACTATGAACATCACATTTTTCTCTGGTTTTTTTGCTGACAGATTCTCTCTGCCTCTCTTGGAGAGCTTAAAAGCCAAGGCCCAGTACGACCCCACATTGTTTTTCTCCCTCACACAGCCCATAACTATGCGACAAAAGCAAATTTCCTTGCCTTAATAAATTGAGTCTGGAGATGACGCCGCACACAGCCACTTCTGCCTTTCTGCCATGGGCTATGTCAGCTTTATCAGGGTGAGTCAATCACTACTCCTGCTTCTGTCACAGAACACACCTTTGAAGGTCTTGCAGCCAGCTCTTGCTGGCCTGAGATGAAGGAGGTAATACTCCTACCATTGTTTCCTGTGGGCGGACTTAGTCTGGCAAACGCTTTCCAAAGAAATTTCTGCCTAACACCCTCCCTCTCTTTCCACTCTTATCCATAAATTTAAATCCTTTATCATGTTGAAGAGTCCAAGCCTCATGGAACCAATTCTTAAAATACTCCTTTGTGATTTCTGCATACAGAAAACTCCCTCACACTCAATTTGGGAATGAATAGCTGTCATATTGACACTTCAGTTGAAACCAATTCAGGAACAGTCCTGCCTTAAAACCATTTTATGTGAAAAGGAAATGATGGGGGATTTCATTTCCAAGCTAAAATAGTATCAGCATTTTTAATTTGAATTTTGATAAACGAATTTTAGTTAGAAAAGTCTCACCAGCATCCTAATGAGAAAATCTACCAAATTCTTCCAAAATAATTTATCTAGCTGTTATCAAATCAATGTTTAAAAAGCACTTGGAGTATAAAGTAATTATTTTTGTCTATCCGTATGCAACATAAAAGTTTACCCAAACTACCAAGTTTTACATGAGCATAGTATTTCATACTGAAAATATATGTGACTTGCAAGACACTTTATGGTATTGGGGCCTCTCTCTTTTAATCTTCTGGCAAATGAAGGTGACAAGAAAACCAGCGGAGCACAGTCATGGTACATAGATGATTTCCAAACAAGGTCTTTTCCAATGAAAAGATCTCACAACATTATTTGCACTCAAAATACACATTTGTTTCTCCCAAGATGGGAAATAATAATAAGAAATAAAGTCCAGGGAAATGAACACTAAAAGAGGGATATAGTTAGAATGTTATATATGTGTATCATAATTTTACTATATATTATAATTTAACTTTAAAATAATAGTCACAGCCAGGCGTGGTGGCTCATGCCTGTAATTCTAGCACTTTGGGAGGCCGAGGTGGGTGGATCACCTGAGGTCAGGAGTTCAAGACCAGCCTGGCTAACATGGCGAAACCCTGTCTCTACTAAAAATACAAAAATTAGCCAGTTGTGGTGGTGTGCGCCTGTAATCCCAGCTACTCGGGAAGCTGAGGCAAGAGAATCACTTGAACTCAGGAGTTGGAAGTTGCAGTGAGCCAAGATTGTGCCACTGCACTCCAGCCTAGGCAACAGAGTGAGATTCCGTCTCAAAAATAATAGTAATAATAATAATAGTAGTCACTAAATAGGAAGAAAAAAATTGAGAAAAGAAAATTATCACCACTAATTTACTTAACAATAAACTGTAATTTTAATATATCCTTTCTCCTATATCTTCTTAAGGTATTTCAAAAGCTGAAAGCATCCCACTTGACCGTGATTCATTGTACCTCTTCATTAAAAACCATTAAGGTTCGGCATGGTGGCTCACACCTGTAATACCAACACTTTGGGAGGCCGAGGCAGGGGGATCACCTGAAGTCAGTAGTTTGAGACCAGCCTGGCCCACATGGTGAAACCCCATCTCTACTAAAAACACAAAAAATTAACCGGGCATGGTGGCATGCACCTGTAATCCCAGCTACTCAGGAGGTTGAGGCAGGAGAATTGCTTGAACCCGGGAGGCAGAGGTTGCAGTGAGCTGAGATCACACCACTGCACTCCAGCCAGGGCAACATGAGCGAAACTGTCTCAAAAATCATTCACAAAGATTGCATATTATCCATCACACTATCGGCCACTATTTATCTAGCCATTTCTTAATTTGATCACATTTCATCTATTTAAAATTTCTGCACTCATAAGCACTGTTAATTTATGTCTCTGGCCAACAGACAAGATGGACTCCCAATGGCTACCTGAGGGGCTCAAAGTTAAAACAGAACCAGGCAGCCACAACTGGATGTGGGAGTGGCCACATATTCTGTTCTCAGAAAGATGGAAAAGTGTCACAGGATCCCCCTTTCTAGAATCAGGTCAATCCAGTCCTTGTTGTGGGTGCCAGGATAAACTGTGGCAGGAATCTTCACCTTCCTAAGCAGTTCTTTGAAAAAACATCTGAGAGAGACTTTGGGTTTTGGGCTTGGTAATCACCCAATCAGTGCTCAAGTATTTTGGCCAATCAGAACGGAACATGTCTGAATCTTTCATTTGCATAAATAGACCTGTTTGACACTGAGGAGAGGACTCATCCTATTTAGCCAGACCTTTTCTTTGTGTTTTGAAGAGCAAACCTTCACTTGTCCTGGAGGTTATGCTTCCCCAGTCTGCAGATTGTTTTTTATGAAAAATAAATGTTTCCCTTTGTCCTCTATAGATGCCATGGTCTTCTGTTAACAATACTATTACTCTGGGCATTTTTTAAATTTTGGATTATTTTGTTAAATTTTCAGGTTGACTCTCTTGGTTTGGAAGTTCACCTCAGTAATTTACTCCATTGTTCAGATAGCCAGTATTTTTTTTAATGCTCTAGTAATTATATCTTATGCAAATATTATAGAAAGCAATTTCTTTTATGATCAATAGTTTATTGTGTTCACTGCAGAAAATCTTGCTTATTCCAAAGTAATAAGGAAATCTGCTATGTGGTCTCATACGAGCTTTGTCATTTTGTCAATTAGAATTACATCTATTGAACATCTTGAATTCATTTCTTTCTGCATGACATGAAGTAGAGGTTAAGGTACTTTTTCTTTTTTCTCTTCTTGTGGAGCTCTAGCTAATCTATTGTTATTTGTTGGGAGAAAATAAACAGATTCTGGTGTATGTACCTACCATCCCAACACAGATTAGTGAAAATAATTAGAATATATTTACAATTTCTTAAAAGTCCATCAAAAACAACATTGGTTTACAATGAAGGCATAAACATATCTGATGTTTGAGAAATTCCTGGAGGTACTAAAGGAGTTGGAATAAGACCAATAGAGAAACAAAGCTGTAGAAAATCTCAGGCACAAACATATGCAAGATCAGACCATAGAAAGGGAGAAGACAGAGCAACTAAAGGCCTGAAAAATGTGAGCAATGGAAATCTCCAGCAACTATGTTCCAGGGTAGCGAGGCTGCTCTGCCACTCTCTGCATGCTGTCTCCCCAAGGACTGCAAATTTGGACAGTTCAGACCTGAGTCAGGTCAGTTTCCCAGGCAATTGTATGTATGTATATAGGTGCGTATATAGGTGCATATGTGTATATGTATGTGTGTAGACTATATTCTGGCACGTTATTGTAAACTTTGGAAAGGGAGAAAAACTGTGCTCAAAATATATCACATTCAGAAATATACGGCACTCTTCCCACAGTATCTCAAGATGGTAACAGATTATAGCCACTAGATAAAGCATCAGCAGATACTCAAACAAGATATTTCATGCACAAAAATAATCATACAAAGTTCTTCGTACAAAACATAAAAAATCTGAGAAAACAATAAAGCCCAAAGAAAACTTTACAATTAAGTACATTACTCTGGTGAGGGGAATGTTGTATAATTTCATATATGATAAATTTGCATAACAACCATTTGTATGTTATGAAACAGAACCAATTAGAACCAATTTGAGATCTTGGAAATTCAAAGTCAATTTGTAATAAAACAAAACAAACAAAACTTCAGTAAACAGTAAGGAAGGCATGCATGAAAAGTTAATGAATAAACAGGGAGATGGAATCAAGGGATTAGTGTCAAAGAAATAGGAGAGAGAAAGTAGGATTTGAAAGTGGAGACACAGAAAATCGATCTGAAGAGTCAAATGTCTTCTACTAGGAATTCTAGAATTTGAAAACAGATTGGAGTGAACAAACCAGGGAAGGGAAGGGGAGGGAAGGGGAGGAAAGAGGAGGGAAGGGGAGGGAAGGGGAGGGAAGGGGAGGGAAGGGGAGGGAAGGGGAGGGAAGGGGAGGGAAGGGAAGGGAAGGGGAGGGGAGGAAACAAGGGAAGGGAAAGGGAAGGAAGGGATGGGAAGGGAAAGGAAGGACGGAGAGAGGGAGGAAGGAAGAAATGTGGCATTTCTAAGAGCAGATCTGATGAGTCTTTGGACTATTATAGACCTACCAAGTGCTGAGAATGAATGAAAACAGAAAACAATAACAATGCCTAGCTACATCCCGGAGTAAATAATTCTGAATCCCAAGGTTAAAAGAGAATCCCAAGCACTTTATATTTTACCTTATAAGAAAAAGAATACATTATTGTCATGTTTCTCATCAGTGCTGAAAGAAGAAAAATTAATTCTTTAATTTCTAAAGGAAGATCTTGTAGTCTGTTACACACTGCTAAAGTGGAAAACTGTTGAATGAGTATTGACTCTCTATGCAAATTTACAACCTTTAAATACTTTCTTATAAAAAATAACACGCCAGAATATAGTCTACACACATACATATACCCATACGCACCTATATACATACATACATGTGTCCAGGCGCACAAAAGAAGATGCATTTCCAACAGCGAGAGACAAAGAGAAAATTGTATAATTAGTGTAGGAGATGCTTGAACATCATTATGGAATATGTGATACTTATTTTTGATAGACAAAGGAAGAAAGGAATCACTTATCGCTCTTCTGCAGTTATTAATGTGAATACAAAAATTCAAGACTTTCAAATGCATCTTTTACAAATGACCACAGTAGCTTTCTCTTGGCATTCATATTCATCAAGGATCAAAAACAAACAAAATCAAGGTCAAATTCATCCTGCATATTAAAATGCTCAGTTTCTCGGTTTCATAACAGCACTGCTGTTTGAGCACTGTGTCTGGTAAATCCTGTACCTTTCTCCTGTAACTAACACACACATCTTATGGCTGATTTTGAGTAACTGTCACGCATCTCGTAAACTAACCCTGTCATGTATCTAATTCGACCCATACCTAAAGTTTTTGAGCCCACATTATTCTTGCCTACATTCACAAATTGATATTAAGCAGTTTGCTTTATTTCATATATGTGTTTATTTATGTGAAGCAGGTTCACAGTCCTCAACAAGTCATGTGAAGCCAATTTATTACTTACAGATAGGCAGCAGAAGCCTAGGATTTATTGTAGTCTGTTTCACACTGCTGAAGTGGAAAACTGTGGAATGGGTATTGACTCTCTAAGCAAACTGACAACCTTTAAATACTTTCTTAGAAAAAATAACATGCCATGATATAGTCTACACACATACATATACACATACGCACCTATATACATACATACATGTGTCCAGGCGCACAAAAGAAGATGCATTTCCAACAGTGACAGACAAAGAGAAAATTGACCTGTGTTCAGGTCTCCCAAGACTCTGGAGAGCTGCGTATGCCTCACTTGCACCACAGCTGCAGGACTCCAGAAAGCAGCTCCACTGGGTCTTACACTCTAGGCTCCCAGGGTGGACTGGGCTAAACTGTTGAACCACATCCTTTTCTAGGGGTTGTTGTTGAGACAGAGCCCAGCCTGTTCCAGCCAGTCTCTTATTTCAGAATATTGCATTCCCAGCACATTCTACAGTTATTCTTGAGAACTACGAGTAGAAAAGGAGGGCAAATGGAGTCCTTCCAAAACCACCCAGAGAACTGTCCTGCACTTTAATACCTCAGTAAAAGTTTATTTAAACGTTTTGATTTCCAATGTGAATACTTGACAAAGAAAAAAATTATAGAAAGACCAAGACCAAATCTTGAGAAGCTTACACCAAAATCATTAAAATAATACGTAAAGAGAATATGATTTAGCTTTAGAATAGGAAAAGGTTTATTAAGCTTAGGAGAAAAAAAATCATAAAATAGCATGTTGATATATTTGAAATTATAACTTTTTTATTTATTTATTTTTTTGAGACGAAGTCTCGCTTTGTTGCCCAGACTGGAGTGCAGTGGCACAATCTCGGCTCACTGCAAACTCCACCTCCTGGGTTCATGCCATTCTCCCACCTCAACCTCCCCAGTAGCTGGGACTACAGGTGCCCGCCACCACGCCCGGCTAATTTTTTTTTTTTTTTTGTATTTTTTTTTAGTAGAGATGGCGTTTCACCATGTTGGCCAGGATGGTCTTGATCTCCTGACCTTGTGATCTGCCCACCTTGGCCTCCCAAAGTGCTGGGATTACAGGTGTGAGCCACTGCACCCGGCCAAAATTATAACTTTTTTACAAAAAAACTGAATCAAATTTAAAGACTACTTAGTAATTATATGCTGAATACAACGTATGTATGTCAGTGGAAGAAATAGCATCCAGGATATTTTTAAATTTTGTATTATTAAAAAAAGATAAAGAACCTAGTTTTTAAAAAGAGGGCCAGGGTAGAAAGTAAAAACAACATATTAAAACTGGAATGGACACACATGTAATCCCAGCACTCTGGGAGGCCGAGGTGGGCAGATCACAAGGTCAGGAGTTCGAGACCAGCCTGACCAACATGGTGAAACCCTGTCTCTATTAAAAATACAAAACTTAGCCGGGCGTAATGGTGCATGCCTGCTACTCAGGAGGTTGAGGCAGGATAATTGCTTGAACCCAGGAGGCGGAGGTTGCAGTGAGCTGAGGTTGCGCCA